>NC_000022.11:35376230-35527745 GCF_000001405.40 Homo sapiens
ATATGTGTGGCAAACACTTCCTTCCAGTCTGTTGGTAGGGTTTCAACCTTATTTATGGGGTGTTTTGGCATCAGAAGGGTTCGGTGTTTTGCACTTCAGCCTATGGATTTTTTTCTTTTTCTTTTTTTTTTTTTTGAGATGGAGTCTTGCTCTTTCACCCAGGCTGGAATGCAGTGGTGCAATCTCAGCTCACTGCAACCTCCACCTCCCGGGTTCAAGCGATTCTCCTGCCTCAGCTCCCCCGAGTAGCTGGGATTACGGGCACCTGCCACTACGCCCGGCTAATTTTTGTATTTTTAGTAGAGATGGGGTTTCACCATGTTGGCCAGGCTGGTCTTGAACTCCTGACCTCAGGTGATCCACCCACCTCAGCTCCCAGAGTGCTAGGATTACAGGCGTGAGCCACCACAATTGGCCCAGTCTATGGATTTTTAAAAAATAACTTGGGCTTGTCTTCCTTGCTGAAGAAGGCTGTTTTCCAGCCTGTCACACAGCAGTTAGGCTGTAGACCCTCACTGGAGCCCCTGCCCTGCAGAATCGAGCACATGTTCTTTCTGGGTCTGTGTGGGGTGTGGGTGTGGTCAGGACACCGTCTGTGACCTTATTTACTGGGGACGTCCCCTGCTTGAGGAGAATATCCAGGCAAGGTCTCCTCACTCTCCTTAGCCACCATCCAGCTTGGCCAAGAGGCCTCCCCATGATTCCTCCCACGCCAGGGCCTCGCCTTTGTTTTTCACTGTTAGGGGCTGGCGAGTCACTGACCCGCCCCCCTCCCTGCTGCCCAAACCACTTCTGTTTCCTGAAGGCGCCTTGGGAATGCTGAGTCGCGATTTCCTCATCCCCTCGTGCAGCTGCATTTCTGCTGCGTCATGTTTGGGAGGGGGGACTCGCGGAAACAAAGGGAAGGCGGATTTTGCTAGATTTTGCTGAGTCACCAGTGCCTCCTCAGCTTCTCTTTAGGTGGGAGGTGAAAGGGCAGCTTTAATGGTAGGCAGGAGGAAGTGAAACTTCTAGAAAACGGCAGAAGCCTCTTGTTTGTCTTTTCTAAGTCTGTGCCTTTCCCCTGCTGGGTCCCCCAGCTCCCACCCTGTGAAGTCCACCTCAATCTGCCCCTGATTTAATGTTGCAATCCACCGAGGCCTTCTTATGCTTCACATCTCTCTGACTTCTGCATCTGCCTCATCTCTTCTGCCTCCAGCAGGAGAAAGTTCTCTACTTTTTTTGCCTGGATAATTATTGTATTTTTAGTAGAGATGGGGGTTTCACCATGTTGGTCAGGCTGGTCTTGAACTCCTGACCTCAGGTGATCAGCCCACCTCAGCCTCCCAAAGTGCTGGGATTATAGGTATGAGCCACCGTGCCCAGCCTCATCCTCCATCTTCAAAGCTAGCAGCATGGCATCTCCCAGTCTCTCTCTCTGTCCTCTGCTTTCTTTGTCACCTTCTGTATGTGCAACCATCCAGCCTCCCTCTTATAAGGCCCAAGAGGATAATCCAAGATAATTCCCCATCTCAACATCCTTGACTTAATCACTTCTGCAAGATCCTTTTGCTATGTAAGGTAGCAAAAAGGTAACCTATTCACAGGTTCTGGTGATTAGAATGTGGACACCTTTAAGGGGCTTTTATTTGGCCCAGCAGGAGGAGAGAGAATAGCATTTGGATCATCCTGTTGCTTGACTAAAAAGAAGGGGAAGTCAGGAGGCTGAATCAGCATGCGAAAGGGCCACAAATTCAGCCCTGGGACAGCCTAGAGGACCAGAACAACTCTGGCCTGGCCTCTTGCACCCCAGCAACCCACTGTGTGGGGGGCTGTTCTAACGAAGTCTGGGGCTCCCAGAGAACAGTTAGAAAAGAAAGCAAGCCCAGACCGGCAGCCAGGAACCCTGGGTCACTGGAGGTTCTCTTTCCAATGGGGGGCATAGCCTGGCCAAGTCCCTCCTGCTCTTGGGGTCCCTGCTTCCCTGTGTTAAATAAAAAGGGTTCAGATCTCATGAGTTTTACCCTCTAGGGTCGCTGAATGGACAGACTCTGGATCTATACACGCAAACTCATCTCCCCTAAACTCCTGGACCCTCTGTGAGAAGGGTTGGAGTGTGGTGGTCAGGACTGTGGGGACTGGCTTCAAAGTGCTGTAGTTTGAATCCTGGCTCTTCCATCATTAACTGTATGACTTGGGAAAATGACTTATCCTCTTTGTCCCTCAGTGCTCATGTGGGCAAAATAGAGATGAAAATAGCTTGCAAGGCTGTTGTCAGGATGGGCTGCAATCACGCGCGTGAAGTCTCTGCACATAGTAAATTCTCAATAAAGGCTGGTTAGAATGACAGTTTGGAATTGTGGCTTGGTTCCAGCCCATTCTATCAGCCCAGCAATATTACAGCCTAACAATATTATTATTTTTTCCCAGAAAGAGACCTTGAAGCATCTATTCATTCAGGCATGCATTCAGTATTAACTGTGACCTACCAGGCACTATTCCAGGAACTGGGAATTTACAAAGCAAAGTAGTAGGCAAGGTCTCCACCTTTGTGCTTTACATGCCACTGTTGGGGCTCAGAAAGTGATACCAGGACAACTGGTGCTTTGACATGATGAGAGGCCTTAGGAGCTGCCTCAGAGTCAAGGTCCCTGTAAGCTTGTCTTGTTCCCCCGACAAGCACAGGGAGAGACGCTCTCTGGAATTTCCTTATCTGACCAAGAACACTTCTTTACAAAAGAAATGCAATTGTGTTAAGTCTTTTTTTCCTTTGAGACAGAGTCTCGCTCTTGTCACCCAGGCTGGAGTGCAGTGGCACTATCTTGGCTCACTGCAACCTCCTCCTCCTCCCGGGTTCAAGCGATTCTCCTGCCTCAGCCTCCCAAAGTGCTGGGATTACAGGTGTGAGCCACCGCGCCCGGCCAGTGTTAAGCCCTTTTTCTAGTAATCTCATCAAATATCCAGGAAAGATCAACCACTGGAGAGAGAAAGAGACTGGGAGTCATCACCAGACCCAGACAGATTTACCTGTTCTTCTGAGGACAGTGCCAAGAGATTACCTGGGGGACTTTATCTGCCTAGGACAACCTTTGTCCCTGTGCGGCTCCACCTCCACCTTCCCTTAAAGTCGGCCTTTCACCTCCAGGGCCATTCCTTCTTGCTAATGATTTACTGTCTTTCAAAAGAATTGTCTGCATTCCCTATCTCCCTTCTCCCCTATAAAAAAGGCTGGGTAGCCTCTGTACTCCACTGGGTTACAGGGTCACCATTCTTCCGTGATTACCCCATTACAATACATTTTTGTATGTCTTTTCTCCTCTTAACCTGACTTTTGTCGGTTGGTTTTCGGGGAACCTTCAGAGGAAGAAGGGGAATTTTTTTCAAGGCCCCTTAGCTCACCCTTGGGAGGATGATCCTTTCCAATACAATCTCAGAAGTGCCTCTGGGCTGTAGTGGCCCTAGGCTGAATTCCAGGAAGTTTTTTTTTTTTTTTTTTGTTTTTTTTTTTTTTTGAGGGACAGCGTCTTGTTCTGTTGCCCAGGTTAGAATACAGTAGCGTGGTCACAGCTCACTCCAGCCTCTACATCCCAGGCTCAAGTGAACCTCCAGCCTCAGCCTCCCAAGTAGCTGGGACCACAGGCATGTGCCACCATGCCCAGCTAATTTATTTTATATTTTGTAGAGACAGGGTCTCCCTATGTTGCCCAGGCCAGTCTCGAACTCAAAGCAATCTTCCCACCTCGACTGGGCTCAAAGCGCTCTTCCCACCTCAACCTCCCAAAGTACTGGGACTACAGGTGTGAGCTACCATGCCAGGCCTGAAAGCCATCTTAAAAAAAAAATCTTAGAATGAGAATCACAGTATTGGGAAAGGACTGTATGAATCATCTGGTCCATTCGTTTTGTCCTCTGGGTTCACCCAGTGACCCTATTTCCCCCGAGTTCTAAGGAGTCCACCTCATGCAGAATTGATTCAATAGGCGATCAGCAAGGGCCAGCTCTGCTCTGGGCCCTGAGCAGGCACTGAGTATAAGTCAGACCTGAATGTGCCTGGAAGAGTGTCCCACGCATTCCAGCAGGGAAGCAGTTTGTATGACAGGTGTCCCAGTCCAGGCGGATACCAGGTGCTGCCAGAGTGTGGAGGAGGCAGGCGGGGACTTAGTCTCCTCCCTGGGTTTGGACACTGGCATCCTGCTTTATGTGTGACACCACTGCACCCCTCTGAGCCTCGGTTTCCCCATCTGTAAAATAGAAGCGATCTACCCTCACAGGTCAGTTGTAGGGATGAACCATGAAAATACTAGAGTCTCTGTTTTTTGACAGGAACTCAAAAAACAGATCCTAAATGTACATTTAAAGAGGGTGTGAGGAGGCAAGCAGTCAGCAGAGGATTCCAGCAGGTGACATTTTAGGGAGCTGGAGACAGCAGAGCCTGGGGTTGCTAAGTTCCTGATGTTGCCCACCAGGCTATTGCTCTGAGCAGCGCTGCCTCCCAGCTTTCTGGAACCTTCTGGGACGCCTGGGGTGCATCAAGTCCCAAGGGGACAGGGAGCAGAAGGGGGGGCTCTGGAAGGAGCAAAATCACACCCAGAGCCTGCAGCTTCTCAGATTTCCTTAAAGGTTTTGTGTGTGTGTGTGTGTGTGTGTGTGTGTGTATGTGTGTGTGTGTGTGTGTGTGTGTGTGTTTTCTCTAAAAGTCCTATGGCCAGACTTTGTTTCCCAAGGGTCATATGACTGCTCCTCTCCACCCCACACTGGCCCGGGGCGGGCTGGGCGCGGGCCCCTGCGGGTGTTGCAACGCCCGGCCAGAAAGTGGGCATCAGCTGTTCCGCCTGGCCCACGTGACCCGCCGAGCATAAATGTGACCGGCCGCGGCTCCGGCAGTCAACGCCTGCCTCCTCTCGAGCGTCCTCAGCGCAGCCGCCGCCCGCGGAGCCAGCACGAACGAGCCCAGCACCGGCCGGATGGAGCGTCCGCAACCCGACAGGCAAGCGCGGGGCGCGGGACGCGGGACGGGCGCCTTTCTCTCCCAACCCTGCTTGCGTCCTAGCCCCACCCCGGGACACTGCCACACAGCGACAGAGCCCAGGAGCCAGAAACTTGGGCTCTGGAGTCAGGAGGTGCGGGGTTCTGATCCTGCCTGTGCCCGTAGGGTAGTTGGAGGGAGGAACGGTAATTTACATGCCTGGCACCCTGGTATGCGGTTGGTGACCAAGATGGGAGTGTCCCTAGAGTATCCAGTCTTTGAGGTAGCCAATTTTTTTTTTAATCCTACTTTCGAGGTGTGTTTGGAGTTGCTCTCTGCTGAATCTAGATCTCTGGGGCTCTGCCAGCCTGGGGGAGCATGCTTGGTTCTCTTGGTGGCATCTGTCCCTCACTAGCTACGGAGGACCTGAGCCAGACATCACCCTGGCTGCGGTGTTCCATGTCTCACAGATAGCCCAGTTCAGGGAGGCGACATGCCCAAGAGTGCTCAGTTAGCTGGTGTCAGAACTGGGCCTTGAACCTTGGTCTGCCCACCTCCAGGTCTCACTCATTCCCTTCTTTCAATAATTTGTTAGTATTTTTTTTTTTAACTCCTGGGCTTAAGCATCCTCCCACCTCAGCCTCCAGAGTAGCTGGGACTTACAGACATGTGCCATTTCTCCTGAGACTTTGACCAGCTGTGTTGTAGAACAGGGAAGCAGGGCAGGAGAAAAGGGAAAAATGACAATTCTGTGGGGAGGCAGGGATACGGACCCATGACAGAAATACTCCCAGAAAGACTTTTTCTTTGACTAAAGCAGACTTTCTCAGGCTTTTTAACCCTGACGCCTTCATGATGAGCATAACATGATAGGGGGTCATGAGATTTGCATCTGGAACTTTAACAAAATAACTGAATTAAATATTGGGTCTAAAAGCCAATCAAAGCAATTACAAACTTGGAGATGCCGGTTCATGGGGCTGCTGCTTCTTCCTGGGTTATGCTGTACCTCCTCCTCCTCTCCACTGCGAACTACCTGTACCAGGATTTCCCCCTTGGTTTGGGGGACTGTATTATTTAGTGTTTTAATGACTGAAGAGTGTTTACAAAGCTGCGAGAGCCACCATGCCCAGCCTGAATTTGTTTTTTGTTTTTTGTTTTTTTGTTTTTTTGCTTTTTTGCTTTTCTTTTTTTGAGATGGAGTGTTGCTCTGTTGCCCAGGCTGGAGTGCAGTGGCGCGATCTCGGCTCACTGCAACCTCTGCCTCCTGGGTTCAAGCGATTCTCCTGCCTCAGCCTCCCAAGTAGTTGGGATTACAGGCGCCCACTACCATGCCCGGCTATTTTTTTTTTTTTTTTTGTATTTTTAGTAGAGATAGGGTTTCACCATGTTGGCCAGGCTGGGCTCAAACTCCTGGCCTCAGGTGATCTGCCCGCCTCAGCCTCCCAAAGTGCTAGGATTACAGGCGTGAGCCACCATGCCTGGCCCTTTTTTTCTTTTTTTTTCTTTTTTTGAGATGGAGTCTCTCTGTCACCAAGTCTGGAGTGCAGTGGTGTGATCTCAGCTCACTGCAACCTCTGCCTCCGGGATTCAAGCAATTACAGGCATAATTGCTGGGATTACAGGCACCTGCCACCATGCCCGGCTAATTTTTGTATTTTTAGTAGAGACGGGGTTTCACCATGTTTGCCAGGCTGGTCTCGAACTCCTGACCTCAGGTGATCCACCTGCCTTGGCCTCCCAAAGCGCTGGGATTACAGGCGTGAGCCACCGTGCCCAGCCACAAGGCTGCATCTTAAAGCGATTGAGAACGTGGCCTGAATGAGGATGGGAGTCTCTTGAAGGCCTGCCCACAGGTGGGAGGCTCAGCAGTTGGGAAGGACCCCACCCCCAGCCAGCTTTGTGTTCACCTTTCCCATTTCCTCCTCAGCATGCCCCAGGATTTGTCAGAGGCCCTGAAGGAGGCCACCAAGGAGGTGCACACCCAGGCAGAGAATGCTGAGTTCATGAGGAACTTTCAGAAGGGCCAGGTGACCCGAGACGGCTTCAAGGTATGTGGCTTGGTGGGACTAGCCCTGGTGGAGGGTGTGGCAGGTGTGGGTGGACCCAAGGCTCAGACCAGTGGTTTAAGTGGGGATGCTGAGGGACCAGATGGGCATGTCCAATAGAATCATCTTAAAAATGATGACACTGAGGCTCAGAGAGGGAAGGTGAGTTACCCAAGGTCACACAGCAAGTTCAGCCTGCTCTGTAATGTTGTGGAGGGGCTGGGGCAGCAGTGCCGTTGACTGAGCACCGGTTCCATGTTGGGCATTTTGTACACGTGGTTTCTAATCTGTGCTTCAACCCTGACGAGAAAGATGAGGACTGGAAGGCTCAGAGAGGTTCAGTGACTAACAGAAGGTCACACAGCCAGTAAGTGGAAAAGGCTGAAATCAACCAAGACCGATTTCAGCCTTGTACTCCTTGTATTTCAGAGCTTGTACTCCTGATCTAACTCGAATTTGCCTCTGAAGATAAGGAATAATATAGGTTGGAGTCTTAACAGAACCCTTTTCTAACAGTGAGACTGAGGGTGCCTCATCTAATCTCCCTAAGCCACGTTTTCCCCATCTGTAAAAGAGTATTTCAACAGCAGGGTTTTCTTAAGCACCCACTATATGCCAGGTACTGATTTTGCTGTTTCCCAGCACTGTTGTGAAATTCATGCAAATAGAAGGAAAGCACTTGATGAAGAACCGGGAAGATACTGGGTGTTAAAACATCAGCGTGGGGAAGAGCTTGTTCAGGTTGAACAGAGGGTGTGGGGGTGGGGAGTAGGGAGCTATATCCCACCACCTTCATCCCAGTCCCTTTTGCAATCTGCACCCTCTGCCACCCCCTACTTCCAACATGAGACATGCTTTATTTATTTTATTTTATCTGAGACAGAGTCTCACTCTGTTGTCCGGGCTGGAGTGCAATGGCAAGATCTCGGTGCCCTGAAACCTCCGCATCCTAAGTTCAAGCGATTCTCCTGCCTCAGCCTCCCAAGTAGCTGGGACTACAGGTGCCCACCACCACACCTGGCCAATTTTTGTATTTTTTTAGTAGAGACAGGGTTTTACCATGTTGGCCAGGCTGGTCTCGAACTCCTGACCTCAGATGATCCACCCGTCTTGGTCTCCCAAAGTGCTGGGATTAGAGGTGTGAGCCACCACCCGGCCGAGACATGCTTTAATGAGGAGAGATTTAATCTGTGGTTCCAGGCTGGGTGGGGTCCTTGGGCCTGTAATGGGTCTTCCTCATCCTCCTCCCCTCTCCCTTAAAAAGATGAGGTACACCCAGTTGCTGCAGTGTGACTGGAGACAGTGGGTGCAGGGAGGTGAATGCTGGAATATCCCATCCCCAGCCAGCTTAGACTTTGGATTTTGCCTCTAAGTCACAGGGTTCTAAGGAGGCGCCAAGATCCATGAGAGAATCCAGTGCTCACTTACATTAAGCTGGTGGACGTGGCACTTATCACAGCCCTTCTCATGTGAGCGCTAAGTGCCAGGCTGCCCTCTGTGCTGGCCCAGATCCTCTCACTTAATCCTCACACCAGCCCCATCTAGTATGTGGCAGGTGAGGGAACTGACTAGCACAGTTGGCTAGCACAGTCACACGGACCTCAGATCATCTGCTCTAGGATAGGATAGGAAGCTGGGACCAGAGAAAGCAAGTGGCTCACCCATGGTCACACAGTTAAGGACTGGCAGAGTTGGGTAAGAACCAGGTCCGTCACACTCAAAAACCCAGGCTCTTTTGTACCAGACTGCCTGGCTTTCTGTCCCCTCAAGGAATAGAGCTGCTTTGAATGTTTGTGGCTCAGAAATAACTCAGAAACTCCAACCTAAATGTCTTAACTTTGTTCTCCTTCAAATTTAAACGGGCGTATTAATGTGTAACGGGAGTTAGTGCCCCAAGCCAAGGTACACTCAAGACCTGTTGCCTCAGCCCAGCATGCAGAGGTGGTGGGGTTCAGAATAGGCCTCCAGGAAGGAGAATTGTGCCCTGTAGTTGGTTACGCAGAGGTCAAAAGCCAGAAGCACATGGCCAATCTCCTTTAAGCACTTTCATTTCAGCTGTTCCCCTCTCCTGAGCCATGGTGGGTCCCTGGCAATGCCCGGTCTTCAATCTAGTTTCATTTCTTACTAGCTGTGCAACCTCCATGTCTCATACCCTCTCTGAGCCTTAGTTTCCTTTTCTGTAAAATGGGAATAGCAATTCCTTTGTTGGATTTTTTTTTTTTTTTTTTCTGAGACAGGGTCTTGCTCACTCTGTTCCCCAAGCTGGAGTACAGTGATATGATCACAGCTCACTGCAACCTTGAAATCCTGGGCTCAAGTGATACCCCTGCCTCCGCCTCTGGAGTAGCTGGGACTATAGGCATGCACCCCCACAGCCATACCTGGCTTTTTTTTTTTTTTTTTTTTTTCTGAGTCAAAGTCTTGCTCTGTCGCCCAGGCTGGAGCGCAATGGCGTGATCTCGGCTCACTGCAACCACTGCCTCCTGGGTTCAAGCAATTCTCCTGACTCAGCCTCCCGAGTAGCTGGGATTATAGGTGCCTGCCACCATGCCTGGCCAATTTTTGTGTTTTTAGTAGAGATAGGGTTTCACCATATTGCCCAGGCTGGTCTCTTGGCCAGGCTGGTCTCGAACTCCTGATCTCGTGATCCGCCTGCCTCAGCCTCCCAAAGTGCTGGGATTACAGGCGTGAGCCACCGCGTCCAGCTGGCTAGTTTATTTATTTATTTATTTATTTTTATTTATTTTTTTGAGACAGAATTTCGCTGTGTTGCCCAGGCTGGAGTGCAGTGGCGAGATCTCAGCTCACTGCAAGCTCCACCTCCCGGGTTCACGCCATTCTCCTGCCTCAGCCTCCTGAGTAGCTGGAACTACAGGCGCCCGCCACCACGCCCGGCTAATTTTTTTGTATTTTTAATAGAGACGGGGTTTCACCTTGTTAGCCAGGATGGTCTTGATGTCCTGACCTTGTGATCCTCCCGCCTCGGCCTCCCAAAGTGCTGGGATTACAGGCGTGAGCCACCGCACCTGGCCCCAGCCAGCTAGTTTTTTAAAATAATTTTTTGTAGAGGTGGGTTTTGGGCTATGTTGCCCAGGCTGGTCTCAGACTCCTGGCTTTAAGCAATCCTCCAGCCTTAGCCTCCCAAAGTGCAGGGATTACAGGGGTTTGAGCCACCACACTGGGCCAGTTTGTTAGATCTTTATATAAGGATTCAATTAGGCTGCTTGTTTTGCCCAGTGGGGTAAAAGGTTTTTAGGCTGAGAAAGTGCATGATCGTCTTTTCCTCTTGTAAAAACCCCTCTGGCTGCTGTGTGAAGAGGATTGTAGCGAGGGGTGGCAGAAGGAGTCAGAGCCCAGCTGCGAAGTGAGGAGGGCCTTTCCAAAGGCAGTAGTGGACGGGACGGACAGAGGTGGGGGTCTTCTATGTGGCTGGCGGCCTGACCTGCTCACTCTGCTTTCAGCTGGTGATGGCCTCCCTGTACCACATCTATGTGGCCCTGGAGGAGGAGATTGAGCGCAACAAGGAGAGCCCAGTCTTCGCCCCTGTCTACTTCCCAGAAGAGCTGCACCGCAAGGCTGCCCTGGAGCAGGACCTGGCCTTCTGGTACGGGCCCCGCTGGCAGGAGGTCATCCCCTACACACCAGCCATGCAGCGCTATGTGAAGCGGCTCCACGAGGTGGGGCGCACAGAGCCCGAGCTGCTGGTGGCCCACGCCTACACCCGCTACCTGGGTGACCTGTCTGGGGGCCAGGTGCTCAAAAAGATTGCCCAGAAAGCCCTGGACCTGCCCAGCTCTGGCGAGGGCCTGGCCTTCTTCACCTTCCCCAACATTGCCAGTGCCACCAAGTTCAAGCAGCTCTACCGCTCCCGCATGAACTCCCTGGAGATGACTCCCGCAGTCAGGCAGAGGGTGATAGAAGAGGCCAAGACTGCGTTCCTGCTCAACATCCAGGTGAGGGTCGGGCAGCCTGGGGCAGCCTCTGCCTCCCCCCGTTGTTCCTCCAAGGGACCCTTCTCATTGTAGGGGAGGGTGCTATAGGTCATGGTTAACACAGGGAACCAGAGTTCCAGCACTGCCACTTACTAGCTGGGTGATCTTGGGCAAATGCCTTCATCTCTCTGTACCTCAGTTTCCCTATCTGTAAAATAGGGATAATAATGGTACCTATATCTTAGACTTATAAGGCTTGAGTGAATTTACAGCAGTAAAGTCCCCACAGCAGTGTCTGGCACAGAGGAAGCCCTCAAACATTCACTACTGTCATAATGGGACATGAGAATCAGTTGTAGCTCTCTGTGACAACAGTCTGTGGCAATGTATAAGTTGTGTGTGCACTAGTGTATAGCCAGGTTGGCACTCCCAGGGTTACAGGTGGCCTCTGCCTTCCAGGGACTCTCAGCCTAGCCAGAGAGGTTTACCTCTTTCTACAAGTGTCTCAAATCCAGGGGGAAGGTGGGGTTTGCGCAAAGCCTGGAAGGATGAATTCTTGGGCAGAGGTGGAGGGGTGAGGGGCTCCTTCTAACCAGATGTCATAGAGCCTTCTCTCTCTGCCACCCCCTGGAGGTGCCATGGGGCCTGGGGCTCGGGGTCATGCCCTCCTGGCTCCCTACTCCCAGCCGTGGATTGCAGAAGATTCTGGTCCTGGCCCCTGTTACGGAACAAGGCCTTTCCCTTCCACCCTCCCCCTTCAGAAAATCCAGTCCGTCTTGGAGGAAGAAAATCTGTGTCTTTCAGAGAAGTGTAGGCAAAAGAAAAGGGCCAGGTGCAGTGGCTCGCGCCTGTAATCCCAGCACTTTGGGAAGCCGAGGTGGGCGGATTGCTTGAGCTCAGGAGTTTCAGACCAGCCTGAGCAACATGGTGAGACCCTGTCTCTATCAAAAATAAAAAATAAAAAAAAATTTAAAGGAAAAAAATGTTTTTAAAAGAAAAGGGATTTGGAATCAGAACTGGCTCTCAGGCTCGTGCCTATAATACCAACACTTTGGGAGGCCAAAGCAGGAAAATGGCTTGAGCCCAGGAGTTTGAGACCAGCCCTGGCAACACAGTGAGACCCCATCTCTACAAAAACATGAAAAAATTAGCCAGACATAGTAGCGTGCACCTGTAGTCCCAGCTACTTGGGAGGCTGAGGTGGGAGGATTGCTTGAGCCCAGGAGGTCAAGGCTGCAGTAAGCCATGATTATGCTACTGCACTCCAGCCTGGGCAACGGCAACAGAGCAAGACTCTGTCTCAAAAACCAAAAAAACAAAAACAAAAACAAAAAAAAACGGCTCTTGGCTGGCCGGGCGTGGTGGGTCACGCCTGTAATTCCAGCACTTTGGGAGGCCGAGGCGGGTGGATCACGAAGTCAGGAGATCGAGACCATCCTGACTAACACGGTGAAACCCCATCTCTACTAAAAAAAAGAAAATACAAAAAAAATTAGCTGGGCATGGTGGTGGGCACCTGTAGTCCCAGCTACTCAGGAGGCTGAGGCAGGAGAATGGCGTGAACCCGGGAGGCGGAGCTTGCAGTGAGCAGAGATCGCGCCACTGCACTCCAGCCTGGGAGACAGAGTGAGACTCCGTATTAAAAACAAAAAACAAACAAAAAAAAACGGCTCTTAGTGCCTGACCTCTGGATCAGTCCTTGGGCAAAGCACTTAACCTGTAGGAGCTACAGTTTCCTCATCTGCAAGGCTAACAAATACCATTCAGCACACCTCACCAAGGCTGAATTTCACAAATCTAAACTCAAGAGAAGAAAGCAGCGGCAGAAGAGTGCATGTACTAGGATACCACTTAATATTATTTCAAAACAAGCAACGCAGCCTTTTGCATGGAGACACAGGCTAAGGACATGGGCGGCCACAGTGAACTCTAAATCCAGGATCATTGTTATCGGTTGGGAGGGCAAGAGCAGGCAGGGGAGCCAATTGGGCTTGGAACATCTTATCTCTTAAGGTGGATGAAAGGGATATGAATTTTCTTTCTTTCTTTCTTTCTTTCTCTCTTTCTTTCTTTCTTTCTTTCTTTTTCTTTCTTTTCTCTCTCTCTCTCTCTCTCTCTCCTCTCTCTCTCTCTCTTCTTTCTTCTTTCTTTCTTTCTTTCTTTCTTCTTTCTTTCTTTCTTTCTTCTCCTTCCTTCCTTCCTTCCTTCCTTCCTTCCTTCCTTCCTTCCTTCCTTCCTTCCTTTCTTTCTTTCTTTCTTTCTTTCTTTCTTTCTATCTTTCTTTCTTTCTTTCTTTTCTTTCTTTCTTGCAGAGTCTCGCCCTGTCACCCGGGCTGGAGTGCAATGGGGCGATCTTGGCTCACTGCAACCTCAGCTTCCCAGGTTCAAGCATTTCTCCTGCCTCAGCCTCCCGAGTAGCTGGGATTACAGGCATGCACCACCACGCCCGGCTAATTTTTTGTATCTTTACTAGAGATGGGGTTTCACTATGTTGGCTAGGCTGGTCTCAAACTTCTGACCCGTGATGTGCCCATCTTGGCCTCCCAAAGTGCTGGGATTACAGGGGCGCACCACCGTGTCCGGCCAATATTTTTCTTACCATCTTGTTATTTCCAAAGTATTTCCTAACACAACTTAAGGTCCTACCTTCAGCTGGGACCTGGTAGCATCTCTCACTGAGATAGGCATGTGTGTCTTTTGTCTTTTAGCTCTTTGAGGAGTTGCAGGAGCTGCTGACCCATGACACCAAGGACCAGAGCCCCTCACGGGCACCAGGGCTTCGCCAGCGGGCCAGCAACAAAGTGCAAGGTGAGAGCATCCAGGAAGGGGCACTTCCTCTGGGCTACACATGGAGGGACTTGGCTGTCTGACTGTAGTATCTCTATTCCTCTGTTTTCTGAATGTTTGGTGGTGGTGGGTGTTGTTTCCTGCTGCCCCACCCCACTGCCCCTGTAAGGACAGGTTCTCGCTATATTGCCCAGGCCAGTCTTGAACACCTGACTTCAAGCAATCCTCTTGCCTCTGCCTCCCCACATGCTGCAGTTACAGGCGCGAGCCACCATGCCAGCCTGAATGTTTGTTGTTGTTGTTGTTTGAGATGGAGTCTCACCCAGGCTGGAGTGCAGTGGCGCGATCTCAGCTCACTGCAACCTCTGCCTCCCGGGTTCAAGCAATTATCCTGCCTCAGCCCCCCGAGTAGCTGGGATTACAGGCGCCCACCACCATGCCTGGCTAATTTTTTTTTTGTATGTTTAGTAGAGATGGGGTTTCACCATGTTGGCCAGGCTGGTCTCGAACTCCTGACCTCAGGTGATCCGCCCACCTTGGCCTCCCAAAGTGCTGAGATTACAGGCGTGAGTCACTGTGCCCGGCCACCTGCGTGTTTTTGTATGAGAAGTGGAGTGCAGGCAAAAGGACCTGGGGTCAACCTTCAGCGTGTGGCTCTGGGCAAGCCATGAGACTTCTCCCTACCTCAGTTTCCCCACCCGTAAAATCCAGTGAGGTTCAGCTACTTCTAGCTTATTGGCTCAGAAGTGCACAAGAACCCCTCAGAAATCATGGGAAACTCCTGCCTCCTTAATTTAGACTCCTTTTTAGGCCTTTGGTCCCCTGATGTGGGCCAGGGAGTTGGGGACCTGTATCCAGCTATGAACCCACCACAGGAAGATGTCCCTTCTGAGTCTTGTTGTGTGTGAGCCCCTCCCTCATGTGCCTAAGAACGATCAAGGCTGGCTGTACTGAAACATCTTGGAAACTTCCAAAAAGACCAAAGTGCTCCACAAAATGTACCCTCACTAAGCCTAAAACACTGAGGGAGGGAGTGTGGCTTTGGGATGGGTAGCAATAAAGAGGTAAGGCTTAGCTACCTCCTGGCAGGTTATATTAGGCCTCCCCTCCTGTGCCACCCTAACCTACCTGGCTTGTGGCTTTCTCACTTGTGCCAGACCACACGGACCCCTCTGCTAGGGGTTTGTAACCCCGGAGGGCTTGGCTATTTGGTGGGGTAGGGAGACGTCACCCTAATGAAGCAGTTCTCAAAGTGTGGTACCCTGGCTGTGGGAGGTGGTAATCCTAGTATCCCCTCAACGGGGTCTGTGAGGACAAAGCATTTTTATAACACTACTACTATTTTTTTGGTTTTTTTTTTTTCGTTTGAGACAGTCTTGCTGTCACCCAGGCTGGAGTGCAGTGGCATGATCTCGGCTCACTGCAAGCTCCGCCTCCCAGGTTCACGCCATTCTCCTGCCTCAGCCTCCCGAGTAGCTGGGACTACAGGTGCCCGCCACCATGCCTGGCTAATTTTTTGTATTTTTAGTAGAGACGGGGTTTCACTGTGTTAGCCAGGATGGTCTCGATCTCCTGACCTTGTGATCCGCCCGCCTCGGCCTCCCAAAGTGCTGTAATTACAGGTGTGAGCCACCGCGCCCGGCCTTTTTTTTTTTTTTTTTTTTTTTTTGAGACAGGGTCTCGCTCTTTCACCCAGTCTGGAGTGTAGTGGCACAATCACAGCTCACTGCAGCTTCAACCTCCCAGGTTCAAGGGATTCTCCCACCTCAGCCTCCTGAGTAACTGGGACTATAGGCACGTGCCACCACACCCAGATTTTTTTTTTTTTTGGCTTTTTTTAAAAAAGCCAAAAATAAATGAGAAAATTAGAGTTTCACTTTCTCATGAATGTGTGTTGGCATTTTCCAAAGGTTATGTGACATGTGATGCTCTCTCATGGATTTGATGGCTCATGGAATGTGTGCCTGTATGTTCTTGTATGTTAAGAATTTCTCAGTTTTGGCCGGGCACGATGGCTCATGCCTGTAATCCCAGCACTTTGGGAGGCTGAGGCACGGGGATCACTTGAGGTAAGGAGTTTGAGACCAACCTGGCCAATGTGGTGAGACCCCATCTCTACTAAAATATAAAAATTAGCTGGGTGTGATGGTGCACACCTGTAATCCCAGCTACTCGGGAGGCTGAGGCAGGAGAATCTCCTAAGTCCGGGAGGCAGAGGTTGCAGTGAGCCGAGATTGCACCACTGTACTCCATCCTGGGCGACAGCGAGACTCCATCTCAAAAAAAAAAAAAAAAGAAAGAAAAGAAAAGAAAAAGAATTTCTCAGTTTTAATATCTAATTTTGTAAATAGTGATAGCTATACTCACACAAACAAAAGCTCTTTTGGATCCTTGGTTGCATTTGAGTATAAAGGAGTTTTGGAACCAAAACATTTGAGAACTGCACCCCTAATGCATCAGAAGGAGCAGGAGCCTTTAATATGAACAACACACATGTAAATGTCACAGTGTACCTGCTTGCTTGCTTGCTTGCTTGTACTTCCTGTGACCGCAGCCCTGGGCCACCAGACCTAAGGCCCTGTTTTCTCTGGGGAAGCCCTTCTCATAGCCCAGGGCGGGGCTAGGATTGAAACCCAGCTGGTCTGGCTCCAGAGACCTGCCCTGGACTCTGTCCTGCTTCTAAAGACCTAGGGAGCACCCACTCTGTGCCTGAGGAGGCAGGTGGCACATCTACCCAGGTTGCATGGTTGGCTCTGGCCTATCATGTTTTAAATCTTTTTTTTTTTTTTTTTTGAAATGGAGTCTCACTCTGTTGCCCAGGCTGGAGTACAGTGGCGCAATCTTGGCTCACTGCAACCTCTGCCTCCTGGGTTCAAGCAATTCTCTGCCTCAGCCTCCCGAGTAGCTGGGATTACTGGCACTCGCAACCATACCCGGCTAATTTTTTGTATTTTTAGTAGAGACGGGGTTTCACCATATTGGCCAGGCTGGTCTTGAACTCCTGACCTCGTGATCCACCTGCCTTGGCCTCCCAAAGTGCTGGGATTACAGGCGTGAGCCACTGCGCCCGGCCCTATCACATTTTAATAACCAGGGATGGGACTGAACTTGAATTTTGACCTCAGAGCTCCTGCTTTCTAGCTCCTGCCCCATCATCACCATGCTTAGCAAACGTGTGAGTTTGAGAGGAAGATTTACAGCTCAGACCTAATTGCTGGCAAAGTTTAAGGAGAGGACAGGGAGCAGGCAGAAGTCTGAAAACCACGCCTGGGCCCAAGAATGTTTTCACAATGTGGCCTGGCTGCACAGGGAAGAACAGACAGCTTGAAGAAGTAGTGAGCTGCCCGTCTTTGAAGGTATTCAAGCAGTGGCTAGAGGGACACCTGTCTGTGGTCTTGCAGAATCCTGGCGTTGGGCAGTGACTGTACCACAGACCCTGAGGCCGCTCTGCTTTGCTTTCCTATGACATCAGACACCCTGATGCACGCCCACCTGTTAATGACCTTGCCCCATTTTCTCTTTCAGATTCTGCCCCCGTGGAGACTCCCAGAGGGAAGCCCCCACTCAACACCCGCTCCCAGGCTCCGCTTCTCCGATGGGTCCTTACACTCAGCTTTCTGGTGGCGACAGTTGCTGTAGGGCTTTATGCCATGTGAATGCAGGCATGCTGGCTCCCAGGGCCATGAACTTTGTCCGGTGGAAGGCCTTCTTTCTAGAGAGGGAATTCTCTTGGCTGGCTTCCTTACCGTGGGCACTGAAGGCTTTCAGGGCCTCCAGCCCTCTCACTGTGTCCCTCTCTCTGGAAAGGAGGAAGGAGCCTATGGCATCTTCCCCAACGAAAAGCACATCCAGGCAATGGCCTAAACTTCAGAGGGGGCGAAGGGATCAGCCCTGCCCTTCAGCATCCTCAGTTCCTGCAGCAGAGCCTGGAAGACACCCTAATGTGGCAGCTGTCTCAAACCTCCAAAAGCCCTGAGTTTCAAGTATCCTTGTTGACACGGCCATGACCACTTTCCCCGTGGGCCATGGCAATTTTTACACAAACCTGAAAAGATGTTGTGTCTTGTGTTTTTGTCTTATTTTTGTTGGAGCCACTCTGTTCCTGGCTCAGCCTCAAATGCAGTATTTTTGTTGTGTTCTGTTGTTTTTATAGCAGGGTTGGGGTGGTTTTTGAGCCATGCGTGGGTGGGGAGGGAGGTGTTTAACGGCACTGTGGCCTTGGTCTAACTTTTGTGTGAAATAATAAACAACATTGTCTGATAGTAGCTTGAAGTAGTTTTCATGGGCTTTGTTATTCTTGGGGAACTGACCTTTTCCTCCCTGGTTTCTTGCGTGCTCGGTAGGAGAAGTGGTGATAGGGGGTTGGCAGGAGCTGGTCTGTTTGAGAATACAGAAGGTGAGCTTTTCTTTTCTTTTTTTTTTTTTTTGAGATGGAGTCTCACTCTGTCACCCAGGCTGGAGTGCAGTGGCGTGATCTTGGTTCACTGCAAGCTCCACCTCCCAGGTTCAATCAATTCTCCTGCCTCAGCCTCCTGAGTAGCTGGGATTACAGAAGTTCATCACCATGCCCAGCTAATTTTTGTATTTTTAGTAGAGATGGGGTTTCCCCATGTTGGCCAGGCTGGTCTCGAACTCCCGACCTCAGCTGGTCCACCTGCCTCAGCTTCCCAAGGTGCTGGGATTACAGGCGTGAGCCACCGTGCCTGGCCCAGGAGGTGAGCTTTAAGTAGCTGGTGGGCGAATATTTGTGTTGAACCCTGCTTGATGCAATTCTCGACTTTATGGAAGATGGGGTTGCCCTGTTTGGTGGAAATGAGCAGATTCTGGGGCAAAATTTGTATTTTCTGTCCAGTGACTATTAGGGACTGGAGTGAAATTCTTAGGTTCAAATTCCTGCTACACCACTTTGAGGTTAGTCACTTAACCTCTCTGAGGCTCCATTTTATCACTGGTGACATGAATATAGTGATACCTAACTCACCTATGTGTCCTGAGAAGCAAACAAGATGCAAGTGAAATGCCAACGCCATACACAGTTAGCACCTATTATGCAAAGAAGGAGACCAGTGTTTTGTGATTCTTGTACTGTCGAGTCACCTCATCTATGTCATCCCTGTGTTGAGGGGGTGTTTCCACTATCTGAGGGTCAGGATGGATTTCACTGAGGTCTGTCCAGCTCTAAAACCCAAGCCCTTTCTATGGCCCTAAGTCAAGAAAATACTAAATATGTAGCCTCCCAATCTGGGAAAGTGAAAAACCTTTTGCTGAAAGTGTCCTGGGCAGAGCATGGGACAAGATTTTTTTTTTTTTTTTTTTTTTTTTTTTGAGACAGGGTCTGGCTTTGTCCTCCACACTGGAGTGCAGTGGTGTGATCTTGGCTCACTGCAACCTCCACCTCTTGGGCTTAAGCCATCCTCTGGCCTCAGCCTCCTGAGTAGCTGCGGCTACAAGTGCACACCACCATGCCCAGTTAATTTTTGTATTTTTTTTTTAGAGATGGGGTTTCGCTATGTTGCCCAGGCTGGTCTCAAACTCTTGAACTAAAGTGATCCTCCCACCTTGGCTTCACAAAGTGCTGGGATTACAGGCGTGAGTCACTGTGCCTGGCCAAGGTGTATTTTTTTTTTTTTTTTTTTTTTTGAGATGGAGTCTCATTCTGTTGCCCAGGCTGGAGTGCAGTGGTGCGATTTCAGCTCGCTGCATCCTCTGCTGCCCAGGTTCAAGCAATTCTCCTGCCTCAGCCTCCCAAGTAGCTGGGATTATAAGCACATGACACCGCACTCGGCTAATTTTTTTAGTTTTAGTAGAGACAGGGTTTTACCATGTTGGCCAGGCTGGTCTTGAACTCCTGACCTCGTGATCCACCTGCCTCGGCCTCCCAAAGTGCTGGGATTACAGGTGTGAGCCACTGTGCCCAGCCAAGGTGTTTCTTTATAGGACCAGTACCTAAGGACTGGAAGTCAGGAGACCTTTGTCACTAGTCTGACTATGCCACTTCAAGGCTCATTTTGTTCACTGGTAAAATGAGAACAATACACATACCTCTCACAGCTGGTGGGAGGATCCAGTGGTGTCCAAACACCAGTCTGTGCATGGTGGCATCAGAATTACTTGGAGATACTTAACCACAGAATCCAGGGCTCCACCTGGGATGGGGCTCTAGAATTTTTTTTTTTTTTTTTTTTTTTTTGAGACGGAGTCTTGCTCTGTCACCCAGGCTGGAGTGCAGTGGCGCGATCTTGACTCACTGGAAGCTCCGCCTCCCGGGTTCACGCTATTCTCCTGCCTCAGCCTCCTGAGTAGCTGGGACTATAGGCACCCACCACCATGCCCGGCTAATTTTTTGTATTTTTAGTGGAGACGGAGGTCACAGGTTTCACCGTGTTAGCCAGGATGGTCTCGATCTCCTGACCTCGTGATCCGCCCGCCTTGGACTCCCAAAGTGCTGGGATTACAGGCGCGAGCCACCGCACCCAGCCTAGAATCAGTATTTTTGAAAAGTACCTTAGGAGAGTCCAACGCGCACCCAGGTCCAGGAGCACGTATGGTCACGTATGCAAAGCATAGGCATTCAAATAGCAGCTGGAGCTGGGCACGGTGGCTCACGACTATAATCCCAACACTTTTGGGAGGCTGAGACAGGCGGATTTCTTGAGGCCAGGAGTTTGAGACCAGCCCGGCCAACACAGTGAAAACCTGCCTCTACTAAAACCACAAAATTAGCTGGAAGTGGTGGCGCATGCCTGTAATCCCAGCTACTCCGGGGGCTGAGGCAGGAGAATCACTTGAATCCGGGAGGCTGAGGTTGCAGTGAGCCGAGATCGCACCAATGCACTCCAGCCTTAGCAACAGAGCAAGACTCTGTCTCAAAAAAACAAAACAAAAACCCAATAGCAGCTGGGACTCTCCTGCCCTGGGCCCAGTTTCCTCATTTGTGAAAGGGGAATAGATATTCATTGTACTGACAAAGAAAGGAAGGAAGAGGGGAGGGGAGAGAGAGAAACTATCTTGAATTTTACTAATAGGAGAATGGCTGAATAATTTTTTCCTATCAATTGTCGAACAAAGCCAGACACTAGTTAAAGTGGTAAGGACGACCGGGCACGGTGGCTCATGCCTGTAATCCCAGCACTTTGGGAGGCCGAGGAGGGCAGATCATGAGGTCAGGAGTTTGAGACTGGCCTGACCAACATGGTGAAACTCTGTCTCTACTAAAAATACAAAAATTAACCGGGCATGGTGGCGCGTGCCTGTAATCCCAGCTACCAGGAGGCTGAGGCAGGAGAACTGCTTGAACTTGGGAAACGGAGGTTGCAGTGAGCTGAAATTATGCCACTGCACTCCAGCCTGGGTGATAAAGCGAGAATCCGTCTCAAAAAAAAAAAGTGGTAAGGACAGATTTTAATCAGTAATGATTATTGCAACAGGGAAGAGAGTTCAGTATGAACTGAACTCAGCTTTAATTTGTATAGAGGTATTTTAAAGGGAGGTTGACCAGCCTGGGCAATATGGTAAAACCCCATCTCTACAAATGAATAAATAAATTCGCCGGGCATGGTGGTGAGGTTGAGGTGGGAGGATTGCACGAGCCTGGGAGGTCAAGGCTGCAGTGAGCTGTGATTGCACCACCGCACTCTAGCATTGGCAACAGAGACCCTGTCTCAAAAAAATAAATAAAAAAAATAAAGGAAGATTGAGGGAGGAAGGGGTGGGCAAGTGATTAGTAGAGTCAGGGAAGTGAAATATTACAAAAGGTTAAGTCAGTGTAAATGCAGTGAGGCTAGCTGTGTCTGCCAGTTGGCAATGATCAAAGTTAGAATTTTTGCCTCCCACAGAGCCTGGGAGACAGAGGTCACATCCTCGGTTGTTGCCTGGAATAAACGGTAAACATTTACCAGCAGCCTTGAGTTTTCTCAGGCAGGCACCTTAGCGGGGGCTGGCTAGAGTCATTTTAGAGATGTTAGCAGCTGTTAGAAACTGTTAGTGTTTGTTTAAGTCTTTTTTTCTTTTCTTTTTTTTTTTTTTTGAGATTAAGTTTCACTCTTGTCGCCCAGACTGGAGTGTAGTGGCACGATCTCGGCTCACTGCAACCTCCGCCTCCCAGGTTCAAGCGATTCTCCTGCCTCAGGCTTCCAAGTAGCTGGGATTACAAGCGCCTGCCACCACGCCCGGCTAAGTTTTGTATTTTTAGTAGACACAGGGTTTCACCATGTTGGCCAGGCTGGTCTTGAACTCCCGCCTCAGCCTCCCAAAATGCTGGGATTACAGGTGTGAGCCACGGCGCCTGGACTGTCTTTTTTTTCTTTTTAGAGATGAGTCTCGCTCTGTCGCTCAGGCTGAAGTGCAGTGGTGCAATCAAAACTCACTGCAGTCTCAAACTCCTGGGCTCAGGCCATCCTCCCACCTTGGCCTCTTGAGTAGCTAGGACAACAGGTGTGCTCCACCATGCCCAGCTAATTAAAAAAAAATTTCAAGCCGGGCGCAGTGGCTCATGCCTGTAATCCCAGCATCTTGGAAGGCTCAGGCGGGTGGATCACCTGAGGTCAGGAGTTCAAGGCTGGCCAACATGGTGAAACCCTGTCTCTACTAAAAATACAAAAAATTAGCCAGGCGTGGTGGCACACACCTGTAATTCCAGCTACTTGGGAAGCTGAGGCAGGAGAATTGCTTGAACCCAGGAGGTGGAAGTTGCAGTGAGCCGAGATCGTGACACTGCACTCCAGCCTGGGCAACAGAGTGAGACTCTGTCTCAAAACAAAAAAAATTATAAAAAAATTTCTAGAGAAGCGGGATCTTGCTATGTTGCCCAGGCTGGCCTCAACTCCTGGACTCAAGGGATCCTCTCATCTTGGTCTCCTGAAGTGCTAGGATTACAGGCATGAGCCACAGTGCCTATAGATCAAGGTTGAGGCTTAGAAGTGAAGGGAGCCCAGAGGAACCTGGCTAGAGTTTGGTCAAGGAGAGTCTTTGTCACCATACTACAGAAAATTAAGCAGCTGTTAAACAGAATGAGGCCGGTCTGGGCATGGTGGCTCACGCCTGTAATTCCAGCACTTTGGGAGGCCGAAGCGAGTGGATCACTTGAGGCCAGAAGTTCGAGACCAGTGTGGGCAACATGGTGAAACCCTGTCTCCACTAAAAATACAAAAATTAGCTGAGCATGGTGGCGCCTGCCTGTAGTCCCAGCTAGTTGGGAGGCTGAGGCAGGAGAATCGCTTGAACCGGGGAGGCAGAAGTTGCAGTGAGCCGAGATTGAGCCACTGCACTCCATCCTGGGGGACAGAGTGAGACTCCCTCTCAACAAATAAATAAACAAATAAAAGCAGTGTGTTAGGGTGCGAGAACCCGGGTCGGGGACGCGGGTGAGCCGCGCGGTAATCGCCCTGTCCTGCCACCAGCTGGAGGACAGGGGCTCCTCAGAGCCTCAGGCCCAGAGAACGGGCCCCACGACCGGGAAGCGAATACTCCACAGGGCACAGTCTCCCAATGCAAAATGGGCACCTGGACCCAATCATTTCTGAACTTCTAGTTTTTTCTCCCTATGGCTATGAAAAGGGTCATTTTTTTTCATAGGACTTTAAAAGAAGGCTTAAGAAAAGCACGCAGGCCTGGCCGGGTAGCTCACGCCAGTAATCCCAGTGCTTTGGGACGTCAAGGCAGGCGGGTCGCTTGAGAGTAGAGTTTCGAGACCTGGGCAAGATGGTGAGACTCCGTCTTTATGAAATATTTTAAGAAAATCACGTACACCTGTGGTCCCCGCTACAAGGGAGGCTGAGGCGGAAGGATTGCTTGAGCCCAAGAGGTTGAGGCTACAGTAAGCCGTGATCCAGCCACTGCACTCCATCCCCGGCAACACAACGAGACCATGCGTCAGGAAAAAAAAAAAAAAACCAAGAAAATAAAAAAGAAACCACCTAAAGGCGTCCTCCGCGCGCCCGCCCCTCCGCCATCTTTGCGTCCGCCCCGTCCTGCGCCGCCACTTCCTTCCCAGCCAGAAGTTTCGCGCCAAATTGTTCCGCACACAAAATGGAGCCCGGAAGGAGGCGAGGTCATGCACTTTGCAGCCAATCATCTTCGGCAGACAGTCCGGGCGGCGGGGCTGGAGGGCTCAGAACGGTCCAATCGCTGGCCGCGAGGCTCCGGCGAACCAATGGGAGCGCAGCGGCTGCGGCGTCCGAACACCGCCTCTTGTTTTTCCCGCGAAACTCGGCGGCTGAGCGTGGAGGTTCTTGTCTCCCCTGGTTTGTGAAGTGCGGAAAACCAGAGGTGAGGCTAGTGGGAGTGGGACTGGGACTGGGAGCCAGCAGGCATCTGGATTTCCGGGTGTAGTTGGAGTGGGACAGGAGTTTCTCGGGAACTGGGGTTGGAGTCCGGGAGCGCGGCCGGGGGTCCCCCTGCTCCGGACTCAGGGCAGGGACCCAGGCGTCGGAGGGGAGGAGGTGCCAGGCGCTGCCCCCAGCCTGTTCTGGCCGTTTGTTCCCACCCCAGGCGCAGTCATGTCGGGATTCGACGATCCTGGCATTTTCTACAGCGACAGCTTCGGGGGCGACGCCCAGGCCGACGAGGGGCAGGCCCGCAAATCGCAGCTGCAGAGGCGCTTCAAGGAGTTCCTGCGGCAGTACCGAGTGGGCACCGACCGCACGGGCTTCACCTTCAAATACAGGTGCGGCTCCTGCGGGGCCGGGGGCTCGAGTTCCAGTGTGGCCGCTCACACGCCTCTACCAGCCTGCTAGAGTCCTGGACAGTCAGGGCACAGATGGGCCCAGACGGGGGAAAGAGCCGGTCCTGGGTCACAGGGCTCATCCCGGCAGCCTCACGCCTTGGTATAAGGCTTTGTGTATTTTGTTTTACTTTATTTTATTTTATTTTATTATTAACGTATTTGTTTATTATTTTGAGACGGAGTCTCGCTCTGTCGCCAGGCTGGAGTGCAGTGGCACGATCTCGGCTCACTGCAACCTCCGCTTCCCGGGTTCAAGCGATTCTTGTGCCTCAGCCTCCCGAGTAGGTGGGACTACCCCCGCCATCACCACGCCCGGATAATTTTTTGTAATTTTAGTAGAGATGGGGTTTCGCCATGTTCGCCAGGCTGCTCTCGAACTCCTGACCTCAAGTGATCCACCCGCCTCAGTCTCCCAAAGTGCTGGGATTACAGGCGTGAGCCACCGTGCCCGGCCTGCTTTGTGTATTTTATCTGTACCTGGAGTTAACTTCTGGGTGAGTCACCTGTTGAGTGGGCCACCAGCAACCAGCTAGCGCCACTTGGACCGTTTAGTTCTTTATCCAGATCTTGTTCCTGTTCATCTGCTTCCTATCATCCTTCCATGTCATGTCTGAGACCTTACAAACTCAAGTTCCCTGTAGGTGTAAAAGGTGAAGATGGCAGTTAGGATTCACTTCACTTCGCTCATTCATTTATTTATACCAGTCTTGCACCTTCATTGATTGAGCACCTGCTGCCTGCCAGATACTGTTCTGGGTGCTGGGCTGCAGCACTGAAGCTGGACCTGGCTCCTGCTTCTAGGTGATTGTACGACCTGTGACATCATGAGAATTCTCATAGGCCCGGCCTCTATCCCTGAAATGTTAAAATGCAGAGAACATGAGGTTGCAGGTTCAGCACTGGCCCATTATTAGCTGAGTGACTTCCAGGTGTCAGTGTCTCTGGGCCTCACCAGGCCAGAAATGGGTAAAGCCATTCCTGCTTTCACTTACTCATGCAGCAGCTGATATTGCCCACCTGTGTGCCAGGCACTGCGCTACAAAGATGAAAAGACGTGCTTCTTGTCCTAGAGAAGCTCCTAAGTCAGAGGAGTGAGTCGTGAAGACCAACAGATAACTTCCACGGTGGTCATTTCCTCCACAGAGGAAGGTGAAAGGACTTAGGGAAGTTTTCCGGGGGGCTGAAGTTTGAGGGGACCTTTGAGCTAAGGTCAGAGTTGCAGGTGTAGAAAGCTTTCTGTCTAGGTAGGAGCAATTGCTTGTGTAGAGGTGTGGGGTGTCCTCACAGCAAGTGGCTTTCAGTAGCAGTCTGGCCATTTTACTGGCTCCTGGACATAAGGGAGACGGGGCTCAGGCCTGTGATACTGCGAGGCTGGGGAACAGCCTGTGCGTTGGTCAGTGGTCCCCAAATATGTTCTTGCCACAGCAGTCACATGGGATGCTCTGCTAAGCATCTGGGCTGGACGCAGTGGCTCATGCTTGTAATTCCGACGCTTTGGGAGGCTGATGCCAATGGATCATTTGACCCCAGGAGTTCAAGACCTGGCTGGGCAACATAGTGAAACCCAGGCTCTATTTAAAAAAAAACAGTCTGACTAGAGGTTGATAAGGCAGATGTGTTTTCTGCTGCCTTGGTGCCTCCAGTTTTTTTGTTGTTTTGTTTTTTGTTTTTTTTTTTTTGAGATGGAGTCTCGCTCTGTCACCCAGGTTTGAGTACAGTGGCGTGATCTTGGCTCACTGCAACTGCTGCCTGCCGGGTTCAAGTGATTCTCCTGCCTCAGTCCCCCAAGTAGCTAGGATTACAGGCATCCGCCACCACACCCGGCTAGGTTTTTTTTTTTGTATTTTTAGTAGAGATGGGGTTTCTCCATGTTGGTGAGGCTGGTACCTTTTTGGTTTTTTTTTTTGAGACAGAGTCTCAGTCTGTCGCCCAGGCTGGAGTGCCCTGGCGAGATCTCTGGTCACTGCAGCCTCCACCTCTGGGGTTCAGGCATTCTCATGCCTCAGTAGCTGGGACTACAGGCGTATGCTACCATGCCCGGCTAATCTTCGTATTTTTAGTAGAGACTGGGTGTTGCCATGTGGCCCAGGCTGGTGTTGAACTCCTGGCCTCAAGTAATCCACCCTCCTCAGCTTCCTAAAGTGTTGGGATTACAGGCATGAGCCACCTCACTGGGCCCCAAGTTTGAGCTGTGTGCATTGTTCTTTTCCAAGAGAAGTTAAAGGCTCTGCGGAGTCCTTCAGTGACAGAACTGGTTTGTTGTTTTGTGCACGCTGGCCTGGGTGTTGAAACATCCTTTGACTGTCTTGTGGACCCCTTCCATGGAGCTTTCTTTAGGGCATGCCTGTGCCAGCAGTGAGTAGCCTCTGCAGGGTTAAATAATGGAATGATCTGGAATTAGATGTGTGTTTGGGAAGAGGAATGGTGAGGTCATGGTGGCTGTGGTGTGGGCAGATTCAGGGGTGCAGGCACACCTCAGCCAGTGTTGGTTTCCTCTTCTTTGCACCCTTCCTGCCCCACCCTGCTATGTGCCCACTCCAGGGATGAACTCAAGCGGCATTACAACCTGGGGGAGTACTGGATTGAGGTGGAGATGGAGGATCTGGCCAGCTTTGATGAGGACCTGGCCGACTACTTGTACAAGCAGCCAGCCGAGCACCTGCAGCTGGTGAGTGGGACCCCATCCCTGAGCTTCCCAGGGCTGCTCTGCCCCAGTTACTAATAGCCTGTGCCCTTCCCTTTCTCCAGCTGGAGGAAGCTGCCAAGGAGGTAGCTGATGAGGTGACCCGGCCCCGGCCTTCTGGGGAGGAGGTGCTCCAGGACATCCAGGTCATGCTCAAGTCGGACGCCAGCCCTTCCAGCATTCGTAGCCTGAAGGTGGGTCGGAGGGCAGTGGCTGCTGCATGGTGCAGAGGGCTTTGGATGCAGCCAGACCTGAGTGCTAGCTGTGTGGCCTTGAGTGAGGCACTTGACCTTTCTGAACCTGTCTCCTCCTGGAGACAAAAGGATCGTTTGTTGTTTTTTGCTTTTTGTTATGAAAAATTACACACCCAAAAGCAGAGAGTAGTATAATGAATCCCATAAAGCTTCACCCAGATTTAATAATTAACATTTTGTGTTGTTTCCTATTTTGTCCTTTTTCTTTTTTGCTAAAGAATTTTAAAGTAAATTCATGCACAGTGGCTCATGCCTCTAATCTTAGCACTTTGGGAGGCCGAGGGAGGAAGATTGCTTGATACCGGGAGTTTGAGACCCTGGCTCTCCAAAAAACAAAACAAAAAAAAAACAAAAAAAACAAAGCTAGGTATGCTGGCATATGCCTATAGTCCAGGCTACTTGGAAGGCTGAAGTGGGAGGATCAAGGGGCCTAGGAATTTGAGGTTACAGTGAGCTCTGATTGTGCCTCTCAGCACTTTAGCCTGGGTGACAGAGCAAGACCCTGTCTCTAAAAATAAAAAATAAATTACAGACATGACACTTTATCCCGAAAAAAAAAAGTTTTCTTACATAGTCTCATTAGCACCTCAACTGAAACATCAAAGATCTCTTAGTATCATTGAATATACAGTCTAGATTCAGATTGACCAAATTACCTCACATGACTCTTACAGCTCGTGTGTCTCAGCCAGGACCAGGCATTGTACTGGATTGTTGTTTAAATCTCTTTTAATCCAGGACAGCTTCCTTTACTCTGGGTGTAAGTTCTTTCACAGATACATTATTGATTTGCTAAAGAAGCAGGAGCCATTATCCTGTAGAATGTGCTGCCTTTTAGATTTATCTGAAGGCCTCCTTGGGGTGGTTACAACATACCCCTTCCCCCCCGTGATTTTTGGAAGCTGGAAGTTAGATGCAAAGGCCTGACTGTGTTTCGATTTCACATACCGGGCAAGAACGCTTATGGGTGGTATTGGATCCCTCATTGCATCCCTCCATCCACTATGCTGAGACTGACCAGGTGCTAGGTTGAGGTGGTGATGGTCACTTTATTGTAATGATGCAGGCATGGAGTCTTGAATTCCGCCTCCCCAGCCTCGCTTCTGCTTCCCACAGCCTCTTCCTGCTTTCTTTGAGAGCCCCAGCAAAACTTCTGCTCATGTCTGGTTCTCTCGTTCAGCCGGAGGAGGGCATTGAGAAACGGAGACAAGGTGGAGAGAGATTGTCCCAGTCCTGTACACTAGTGGCTCAGGAGCTTTGTGAAGGGCAAGGGCTGGCCATAGGAAGGAGTGGATCGGCTGAGAATTTATGTTTTACTTTTTATTATGGATAATTCAAACATTAGAATATAAAGAGAATCGTATAACGAATCCTCTTGTACTCATCACCCAGCTTAATAATTAGCAACTAGAGGCCAATTTTTTTTTTTTTTTTTTTTTGAGATGGAGTTTTTGCTCTTGTTGCCCAGGCTGGAGTGCAGTGGCACGATCTCAGCTCACTGCAACTTCCGCCTCATGGGTTCAAGTGATTCTCCTGCCTCAGCCCCCCAAGTGGTTGGAATTACAGGCACACACCACCACGCCCGGCTAATTTTTAGTAGAGATGGGGTTTCACCATGTTGGCCAGGCTGGTCTCGAACTCCTGACCTCAGGTGATCCATAGATGCCAAATCTTGTTTCATCTGTGGCCCTGGAGTTCTTTTGAAACAAGTCCCATACATCATATAATTTGATCTGGAACTATTTCTCCATGTATCTCTAAAAGATGAATCTCTTTTTTTTTGAGACGGAGTTTGACTCTGTCGCCCAGGATGGAGTGCAGTGGCATGATCTCAGCTCACTGTAACCCCTGCTTCCCCGGTTCAAGCAATTCTCCGGCCTCAGCCTCCCGAGTAGCTGGGATTACAGGCATATGCCATCACACCTGGCTAATTTTTGTATTTTTAGTAGAGACGGGGATTCACCATGTTGGCCAGGCTGGTCTCGAACTCCCGATCTCAAGTGATCCGTCCGCCTCGGCCTTCCAAAGTGTCGGTATTACAGGCGTGATCCACTGCACCCAGCCTTTGAAGAGTCATTTTTAAAGGCATAGCTACAATAACATCACACTTAAAAATTAACATTACGGCCGGGCGCGGTGGCTCATGCCTGTAATCCCAGCATTTTGGGAGGCCGAGGCCAGTGAATTGCCTGAGGTCAAGAGTTCGAGACCAGCCTGGCCAACATAGTGAAACCCCGTCTCTACTAAAAATACAAAAAGTTAGCTGGACATGGTGGCAGTTACCTGTAATCCCAGCTACTTGGGAGGCTGAGGCAGGAGAATCGCTTGAACCCGGGAGGCGGAGGTTGCAGTAAGCCGAGATCCTGCCATTGCACTCCAGCCTTGGCGACACAGCAAGACTCTGTCTCAAAAAAAAAAAAAGAAAAAAGAAAAAATATTACTGCCTTATTGTCCGGTGTGGGAATAGTCATTAAGATGGGGAAACTGAGGCTCAAAGAGAAGTGACCCAGACAGAAGACCACACAGCAGGTTTTGACAGAACTTGAACTAGAATGTGGGCCCCTGCCTCCCAGGTTTGTTCTGTGTTGTACTCTACAGGTCCAAGGATGTCGCCATCAGAGCTGGGGTCAGGTCTCTCTCCTGGCACCTGCCACTTTGTAGTGAAATGTGCTTAGTGTATCTCTTGCCCTGCCACCTCCCCCCCCAATTGTGCTGCGAGGTCTTTAAAAGCAGGAGCTGTGCCTGAGGCTCCTCTGAACCCCAGGGTCCAGATAGCCTGGCACTGGGTGGATGCTCTGGAAGCATTTTTTGAGCGGAACAGAAGAGCTGTGGCCCTCCCTGCAGCTCTGTGCCCACCTCCTCCAGGCTCCTGCCCAGGATATTTACTGGCATATCTCAGATGCGTCCTGGCTCCCCTTAACCAACAAGCTTCCCGATGGCTCTATTACAGTCGGACATGATGTCACACCTGGTGAAGATCCCTGGCATCATCATCGCGGCCTCTGCGGTCCGTGCCAAGGCCACCCGCATCTCTATCCAGTGCCGCAGCTGCCGCAACACCCTCACCAACATTGCCATGCGCCCTGGCCTCGAGGGCTATGCCCTGCCCAGGAAGTGCAACACGTGAGTCTGTGGCCCAGAGGGACTGTGGGAGGTGACCTGAGTGAAGATCAGAAAGGATGAGAACAAGTAGCAAGCACTGCCTGCAGCTGCTTCTAGAGATCCACTGGGATGGGCTGGGCAGGGGTGTGCCCTTAGGATTGGCACAGATCTGATGCCCTGTGGCTCTGAGACACCATGAACAGGGTCCCTCTACATTGGTGACTTCTGTCTCACCAGGATACCCAGACAGCGTTGTAGGGAACCCAGGGTTGGGAGGGAAAAGCAGTCCAGGGTAATGAGTCTACTTGGAATCTTCTGAAGCAAACTATGGTTTGCTCACTAGGCCAGATCTAGCCTGCTGACCCTATGGCCCAGGAACACGTTCGTTCATTTAAGTATTGCCCACAGCTGGTTTCGCACTACAAAGGCAGGGTATGTGGCCTCTTGGCTGGCAGAACCTGGAATGCACATCCTCCGGCCCTTTCTAGAAAATGTTTGCTGCCCCCAGTCTGAAGGAACCCCACCCTCTTCACTGGCTGCTCTTTCTTGGCTCCTTCGCTGGTGCCTCCTCAGCTTCCCATCCACCTGTGGCACAGCTGCCTCATTCCATGCTGTTGACATCTCTCACTTGGAGAGGCACGCTACCTCCTCCCTGATCCCCCGCGTCCACCCTCCACCCCCTCAGTCTGTTTTCCACCCAGCAGCCAGGTGTCCCTTGACACTCAGGTGGTCCAGTCATTTACTTCTTAGTCAAGTCCTGCACAGCCCACCACGATCTGCTCCTGGCTTCCCCAGGCCTCGCTGCCCCTCCTCTCTCCAGGCCCGGCCTCACTGCCTCCTTCCTGTTTCTGGAATACACTGACTACCCCCAGTCTCACTGCCTTTGACCTTGCTGTTTCCTCTACTGGGAGTGCTGTTCCTCAAGCTACCATAGTCTGTGTCCTCACTTCTTCAGGCTTCTCTTCACATGTCCCCTTACCAGGGGCATCTTGCCCAACCCTTCATCTTCAGTTTGGTGTGCACGTACCTCGTCTCTCCCACACCTGCCTACTTTTTTACTTTTCTTCACAGCATGTAGCTGTCACTCTTTAATATGATTGTTTGCTTGTATGTCTTTTCAGCCTCCCTTGATAGGAACTTAGGCTCCACAAGAGCAGGGACCTTTTTGTTCAGTGCTGTGCCCCCTGCACCTGGAATAGTGTCAGACACATAGTAGGTTTTGCTATGATGTTTACTTCTTTATGTTGCTATAATATCTATTGAATAATGACATAATTACCTAGGGATACGTAGAGGCTTAGACCCTCAGAATGGTCTAGAACTGCCTAGAATCCCACTGGAAAAGATCTTGGGATTTGAGTGGGGCTTTAGTAAGAGAATTGATGAACTAGCTCTTCACCCATGAGGACACCATGATCCTGCAAGAAGACCGAGTGTGACCTGTCTGCCTCCTCTCAGCAAGTTAATGGAAGGACCCAGCCTCAAGCAGTTCCCTTGACTCTTAATCCAGTGCTAGGTCCGTCAGTGTTGCCTTCCTTTCTTACCTCCAGGCAGCGTTGCCTGCCTGGCTTATCTCCAGCTTATTCTGGAGACCCCCATAAATTGCCGCTGGCAACGTCTCCTTGCTGGCTCCTGGGATGAATGAGCCCTGCCTTTGGATTCTCCAGGTAGCTTTGGTGACTCTTTTCCCTTACCTTGTACAGAGATCAGGCTGGGCGCCCCAAATGCCCATTGGACCCGTACTTCATCATGCCCGACAAATGCAAATGCGTGGACTTCCAGACCCTGAAGCTGCAGGAGCTGCCTGATGCAGTCCCCCACGGGGAGATGCCCAGACACATGCAGCTCTACTGCGACAGGTGAGGCAGACGGGCTGGGAGGTGGGCATCTACGACGGTGGATGTCCCAGCTGTGGCCCTAACCCGAGTGTTGGGAGTGGGTCATCTGGAGCAGGGTGAGTAGGGTGGAGAAGGTGGCCAGTTGCAGAGCACCTGCTCTGTGCCTAATGCTTCCATAAGTTCCTCTCATCTCGTCTTTCCATAATCTGCAGGGGCATGTCAGCCCCATTTTGCAGATGAGGAAATGTAACTTGGAGAGATTAAATGACTTCCTGTGTGGAGGAGAGCCGGGCTTTCAGCCTATGTGCATTGCTTTCCAAAGTCTGTGTTCTTCTTAGGATAAGAGGCCCAGGATGCACAGCTAGATAACCAATAGCTGGCAAAGCCTCTTCCCAGCCTGACACCCCACCTCCTACCCCAGGCTTTCTTTTTTTTTTTGAGACGGAGTCTGGCTCTGTAGCCCAGGCTGGAGTGCAGTGGCGCGATCTCGGCTCACTGCAAGCTCCACCTCCTGGGTTAATGCCATTCTCCGGCCTCAGCCTCCCGAGTAGCTGGGACTACAGGCGCCCTCCACCATGCCCAGCTAATTTTTTGTATTTTTTAGTAGAGATGAGGTTTCACCTTGTTAGCCAGGATGGTCTCGATCTCCTGACCTCATGATCCGCCCGCCTTGGCCTCCCAGAGTGCGTGGATTACAGGCGTGAGCTACTGCGCCCAGCGTACCCCAGGCTTTCTGTTAAGATCCTGCTGAACAGCCACGGTGGCTCATGCCTGTAATCCCAGCACTTGGAGCGGCTGAGACAGGAGGATTGCTTGAGGCCAGGAGTTCAAGACCAGCCTGGGCAACATACTGAGACCCTGTATCTAAAAAAAAAAAATTTATTAGCTGGGTGTTGGGGCAGACACCTATAATCCCAGCTACTTGGGAGGCTGAGGTGGGAGAATCACTTGACCCCAGAAGGTTGAGGTTGCAGTGAGCTGTGATTACACCACTCCACTCTAGCCTGGGTGACAGAGCGAGACCCTGTCTCAAAAAGGAAAACAAAAAAGATTCTACTGAGGGGGAGAGGGTACTGAGCTTGGGCCCCTCATAGTAACCTGGGTGGAAGGTTTTGAGATCTTTGATTAGGGTTCTAACCTGGGCTTGCATATCCTGAAATTGCATGCAGATGTTCTGAGGAGAGCGGATCTGTAGCTTCTGTTAACTTCATTAGTGGCAACAGAGTATGTAGGGGTCAGGCTCTTGCTCCCTGGGCAAGTTATGTGACTTTGTCAAGCTTCAGTTTCCTCATCAGTAAAATGGGGATAAGGACAGTCCTTAATCTCTCAGAGGGCTGCTTGAAAATGCATGTGGTGTTTAGCACAATTCCTTCATGCAGATTACGTAATCAGGATGTATGATTTTCCAAGCAGTTCATGAATCCTGAAAACTTACGAAGTGGGTATGGGAAGAGGGGAGTTGGAGGCTCATGGAGTGACGGTGATGGTCTTTTCTGGAGCTGTGATGCCTGATGGTATAAAGCACTTCTATGTCTGCTGCCTCACCTGACTCCACAACATGAGAGGCAGGCCACTTCGTCATCCCCCTAGGCTCAGAGGTGCAATGACTTCGTTGAGGTCACACAGCGACTAAGTGTCCCTCCACACCACCCTGTCTCTGACTGGGGGACTTGGAGACTTCCCTGTTTCAACATCTCATTTTGAAAACAGGAAATGAAAACCCAGAGGCAAAATGAGCTCACAGAGCCATGAAGAGGCAAAAAGGGCGAGTGGCCCCTCAAGGAGGCTGGGGGGCGTGAAGAGGAAGTCTTGCCCTGAGAGGCTAAAGGGCACCACACAGTGAGCTGACAGCAGACACGTGGAGATGGGGCTTTTGGAGGGCTCTGTGGGCTGGCACTAAGCCTCCTAAACCAGCGTACAAATGAGTTAGCGAGTTCAGCGAGAGTCAGGCCACCACCTGCCTTTCTGTTTGGCTGTCACTGTGGGCAACACCATCCTCCAAGCAGCTGAGCATGGGCTGAGTGACGTGGGGAGAGAGGCCGTTCTCTGGGCTCCGTGGGGCTGGAGCCAGCTCAGCATGTGGTGCCTGTGGCAAAAATGCTGCAGTGGACCCTGCGTGTCCTGGGCATGGGTGGAATCAGAGACTTGCTGTCCAAGTCAGAATCTCAGCTTTTCTCCTTTCTCCTCTACCCTCCTCTCAGGTACCTGTGTGACAAGGTCGTCCCTGGGAACAGGGTTACCATCATGGGCATCTACTCCATCAAGAAGTTTGGCCTGACTACCAGCAGGGGCCGTGACAGGGTGGGCGTGGGCATCCGAAGCTCCTACATCCGTGTCCTGGGCATCCAGGTGGACACAGATGGCTCTGGTGAGTTGGCTTTGGGGTCCTGGCTTAGCCCTGCTAAAAGGCTGTGCTTGCATACTTCTGGTAACAGGCAGCTCGTTACTTCATGAGGTAGCCCAGGATGTCCTTGTGTTGCTCATATCATTAGAACGTTCATTTTTATATTAAGTGATCCCTGGAACTTCCACACATTGGTCCTAGCTGTGGCTCCTGGGCTGAGGGTGTTTGCCTAAGTGCAGGATTAAGGCAGAAGGACTGAGGTCAAATCACTGGGGAATTACTGAAAGCCAAGTCTTCACTTCTGTGACAGGAAATACAAGAGAAGTGAAACGCAGGGTTCCAGGCAGGCAGCCGCCTAGTGTCTAGTTGGAGAAATAAGAAAACTGTGAGACCGCTGGGGACATGTGGGTAAAGTGGTGGCTGTTGTGGGTCACGCAGTTCCAAGGAGGTGCTAAAGGAGGTCTGAGAAGGAGGAGGTCGGGGCTGGGCCTTGGGGAAGGTTTTCTGGGAGGAGGTTAATCTGAGCTGGGCTTTGAAGAGTGGTGGATGTGGAAGAACTTCCAGGCGGGAGGGGATGGCAGGAGCAGGTGAAAACCCCGGCCTGGGCAAGGTACTGAGTGGCTGGAGGGCCGAGTGGGAGTCTAGGGGATGAGGGGCCAGGTGGTGTAAGAGGCCTTGAGTGCCGAGATGGGGAGCTCCTGCTTACACCTGAGGGCAGCAGGGGCCACTGAGGGTTTTCAGGTTTGTTTCAGCCCTCTGGCTGCAGTGAATTGATTCAGAGGGGTGGCTTCCCCAGGGCTCAGTCCATGGCCCACCCCACATTTACACAAACTACCTAGATTATTACAACTTTAAAACCACTGACAGGTAAGTAGCTCTCACATTTCCATTTCTAGCCTGGGCTTCTCCCCACGTTCCAGACTTTAATAACCAACTGCTGATTTGACATGTTCACTTACATATCTGAAAGGCATCTCGAACTTTACATGGCTGAAGCTAAGCTCCCCTTTCCCCACCCTCAGACTGGCTCCTCTCAGTCTTCCCATCTTCACCCTTTCAGTTGCTCAGACAAAAACCCCCAAGTCACCCTTGGTGCTCTTTTCTCTCATCCCCCACATCTAATCACTCAGGAACTCTGGCCAGCTCCACCTTTAAAACGTGTCCAGGATCTGACCACTTCTCATCCTCCCCACCTGCTCTGAGCCCTTGTCAGCCCTCCCTGGATCACCGTTGATCCTCCCCAGTGTTCGTCTCCACCTTGCCCTACCTTCTCTGTTCTGCAGCAGCCAGTGAGCGATGCTGTCATGACCAAGACACTATATCACTCCTCGGCTGAAAGGGGAGACCTTCCAGTGGTTTCCAAGGTCCTATGCCATCTGGCCCTCTGTTTGCTCAGAACCCTTCTCCCCACTTCCCCTCACCCTTTGGACCCTGGAACACACCAGGCCCATTCCTGAGGGCTTGAGAGCTGGGATCTCTGTTTACTCAGATAGGTTGTGCTGTCCTGGCCCTAAGGGCCCTAAGGGCTCTGCCTTCTGGGAGGTCCCTGAGCTGGTGCCAGGATGGGCAGTGGGCTGGAAGAGCTCCCTTGTACTCACTCATGCGCCTGCTTTGCCTACCAAGGCCGCAGCTTTGCTGGGGCCGTGAGCCCCCAGGAGGAGGAGGAGTTCCGTCGCCTGGCTGCCCTCCCAAATGTCTATGAGGTCATCTCCAAGAGCATCGCCCCCTCCATCTTTGGGGGCACAGACATGAAGAAGGCCATTGCCTGCCTGCTCTTTGGGGGCTCCCGAAAGAGGTAGGGGCTTGAGTTCCCTTGGGTTTGGGGAGGCGGCTGATGATGGGGCTCACAGTAGGATAATTACTGGATAATCAGGACTGGGCACTCTTTTTTGTATTTCCTGGGCCCCTCAGTCTGCCAGGCACCTTTGCCAGCCCCCAAGCTTGCCATCAGCTGGCTAGTGGCTGATCTGCGCACCTGTCTCAGCGATGCCCTGACCCTGGCAAGGGGGAGACTGGGGGCCTGGCAAGTGCAGTGGGAGAGCACTGAGCTTAGGGTCGTGTAGGTACCAGGACTTAAATCTCAGCACTGAGCTTGGGGTCAGTAGCAGGGATATTATTAGCAGCTGCCATTTACTGTGTTCTTCCTATGCACAGCCATTCTTTGTTTTTTTTTTTTGAGACAGTCTCACTCTGTTGCCCAGGCTGGAGTGCAGTGGTGTGATCTCGGCTCACTGCAAGCTCCGCCTCTTGGGTTCACACCATTCTCCTGCCTCAGCCTCCCGAGTAGCTGGGACTACAGGCGCCTGCCACCATGCCCAGCTAATTTTTTTTGTATTTTTAGTAGAGACAGGGTTTCACCGTGTTAGCCAGGATGGTCTCGATCTCCTGACCTCGTGATCCGCCCGCCTCGGCCTCCCAAAGTGCTGGGATTACAGGCGTGAGCCACCGCACCCGGCCGCACAGGCATTCTTCTAAGTGCTTTATGTGTCTGAAGCCCAGTCATTCCTCACAGTAACCTGTTAACGCAGCTGTTGTGCCCATTTTATAGATGAGGGAATTGAGGCATAGAGAGTTAAAGGGACTTGCTCCCCAGCACATGCAGGGGAGCCAGGAGCCTGCTGTCATGGTGCTTGTTCTGCCGCACCGTGCACAGCCCACAGGCAGCTCTCTGTCCTTTTCTTTCAAGCTGGGAGGAACGTTGCTCAGATGCTGGGTGTACCCGAGCACAGCCATAAGAGCCATTTCCTTTAACCCTCCTCTTCTGGGAGGCAAGCTCTGTCCTCATTGCTAGGCAAGACCTACCATGGTTTGGGAACTACAGAGCTGGGTAGGAACATGGGTCTCAGGCCACAGCCACTACCTTCTTACCAACTCTGAGGCCCATGATAGTTGGGGGAGTCAACTGCCAGCCCACCAATCTGGTGACTGGATGTCACATGCGATGCCCTCATGGATTCTCACCTTGTCCATCTACCCTTCGTCCCCCAGGCTCCCTGATGGACTTACTCGCCGAGGAGACATCAACCTGCTGATGCTAGGGGACCCTGGGACAGCCAAGTCCCAGCTTCTGAAGTTTGTGGAGAAGTGTTCTCCCATTGGGGTGAGTGGCCTGGGATACCTTTGCCACCTTGGCTTGCAGGGAGGAAGGCTGCAGGGCAGGGCCTCTGGGTCCTCAGGACACCTGTGGTGGGCTGGCTCACCCGGAATCTCTTCCTCCTTTCTCTTGGCTGCGGTCAGGATGGCCGAGGAGATGGGAGGAAGAAGGGAGCCAACAGGTGTATGTAGGTTTGGGGCAGGGGGCGAGTACACTGTACTGAGAGTCAGGATGGGGTTTGGGTCTCACCCTGGCCAGAAATTGGCTGTGGGCTTTGAGTAAGTCACCCAATCTCCCTGAGCGTCAGTTTATCCATTTGCTAAATAATGATATTGTTATCATTAATAGCTAAAATCTGGCTGGGCATGGTGGTTCATCCCTGTAATACCAGCGCTTTGGGAGGCCGAGGTGGGCGGATTGCTTGAGCTCAGGAGTTTGAGACCAGCCTGGACAACATGGTGAAACCCTGTCTTTACCAAAAATACAAAATAACTAGCCAGGCGTGATATGCACCTGTGGTCCCAGCTGCTTGGGAGGCTGAGGTGGGAGGATCACTTAAGCCCAGAACGGGGAGGTTGCAGTGAGCCAAGATTGTGCCACTGCACTCCAGCCTGGGTGACAGAGTGAGACCATGTTTCAAATAATAATAATAAATAATAATAATAATAATAATAGCTAAAATGAAGGGCCAGACACTGCTTGAAGTACTTTGCATATATTTACTTAGTCTTCACCTCAACTGTGTGGCAGGTACTATTACCCCTGTGTTAGGGGTGAGAAAACTCAGGTACAGAATGGGTAAGTGTCTTGGCCCAGGTCTCACTGCTGGTAAGCATTAGAGCAGGATGTGATTGAACCCAAGTGTCTGATGAGCTGGGTCCTCTGCTGCGTTGTTGAATGGGTCTGCGGGGATCAGAGCCAGAGAAGGTCTGACATGATCCGAGTGGCGGGGTTGTATAGGGCGAGATGGTGGTCTTTGGATAGATAGGAAGTGTGCCAAATTTGCCACACTGGCACTGTCCAGTAGAAATAGTGAACTGCACATGCGACCCATGTATGTCTTCTCAGATTGTCTAACAGCCACATTAAAAAGTAGCTGGGTGCGGTTGTGTGCATACCTGTAGTCCCAGCTACTTGGGAGGCTGAGGTGGGAGGATCACTTGAGCCCAGGAGTTTGAGACCAGCTTGGGCAACATAGCAAGACCCCGTTTCAATTTAAAAGGAAGAAGGGGAAAGAAAAAAGGAAAAACAGGTGAAGTTACTTCTGTTTAACTCGCTATATCTAAAATCTCATTTCAACATGTTGTTTGATATGTAGATTATTGAGATACTTTACATTCTTAGGAGCTCTGAGTCTTTGAAATCGTGCGTATTTTGCACGATTAAGGACATCTCAGTTAGGACTTTCCCAATTTCAGGGGCTCTATGGCAGTATGTGGCGTGTAGGTCTATATAGAGACGACAAGGGACTCACGATGGGGGCAGGCTTTCCCTGGGAGTCAGGAGTCCTCATCCTAGCCCTGAGGCTAACTCCTCTTCTCTGGGCCTCAGTTTGCTCATCTGTGAGTTGGGCCTCACAAGACTGTGTCACAGGGCTGTGGTGAGGCTTAGGTGAGCCATGGATGTGATGCCCTCAGCGGGGAGAACATCTGGGCACACCGAGGCCCAGGGCAGCATCCCCTTCCAGAGGGAGACGCACTGAGTTGGAGCCTTGAGTCCTATTCTGTACCCTGCAGCCAGCTTTGATGTGTGACCTTGGGCAAATCACAACCTCAGTGGGTCTTTTTGTCTTATGGGGGTCAAAGCATGGAGTTGTTATTGGGCCCTGACACCACCCCACTGCCCCAGGTATACACGTCTGGGAAAGGCAGCAGCGCAGCTGGACTGACAGCCTCGGTGATGAGGGACCCTTCGTCCCGGAATTTCATCATGGAGGGCGGAGCCATGGTCCTGGCCGATGGTGGGGTCGTCTGTATTGACGAGTTTGACAAGGTGAGTCTGATGAGGTGGGTAGTAGCCAAAAGGTGGGTGGCACCAGGGTATGTGACTTCCTGTGCTCAGCCAGCAGAAATCACCTCTGACTTGGGAGACATGTTTTCAATCCCTGGGCCGGTCACTCTAGTAACTGTGGGAAGCTGCTTAACCTCTTCAAGCCTCAGTTCCCATATCTGAAGAGTGGGGAGAAGAAAGGCAAGCCCACACAGTTGTTCCCATGATTAGAGGTGACCTGGTTGCTGCCATTGGCCTTGCGTGGAGCTGGTATTCAGGAGTGAGGGCTGCTGTTAGTTTTCCTGTTTCTACTGCTCCCTGCTCCCTCACTTCAGTAGGTCTGATGATATTTCTCTCTTCCCCACTTAGATGCGAGAAGATGACCGTGTGGCAATCCACGAAGCCATGGAGCAGCAGACCATCTCTATCGCCAAGGTGAGTGGCCCTCCATGGAGAGCCCAGCCTGCAGCAGCCCAGCGTGGCCCAACCGTCCTCAGGCTGCCCTGATTGGGACCAAGTTCTCTTTGCCCAGGCCTAGAATCTGTGTGTGTGTGTGTGTGTGTGTGTGTGTGTGTGTGTGTGTGTGTGTGTGTGTGTGTGTGTAAACGTGTATATAAGAAGGCATCTTTGCCATCTCCTCCCCCTTTTCGTCGTCTGTCGCCTGTTAGGCTGGGATCACCACCACCCTGAACTCCCGCTGCTCCGTCCTGGCTGCTGCCAACTCAGTGTTCGGCCGCTGGGATGAGACGAAGGGGGAGGACAACATTGACTTCATGCCCACCATCTTGTCGCGCTTCGACATGATCTTCATCGTCAAGGATGAGCACAATGAGGAGAGGGATGTGGTACGTCCAGGGGCAGGGCTGGTGGCCATGGGACCTGCCTCCAGGCAGGCTTGTGATTGTGTGGGAAGGAGAATGGAGAACAAGGGCCTTGGCTGGCAAAGTCCTGACTGTCAGGCTGTGAAATTGGGGAGCACGTGAGAGGGCGGTTGTTGTGGACTGCAGAGGATTGAAGCAGGGTCTGGAGTCCTGTGGCCTGCTCTGCCTCTGCCGTGAGTGATAAGCTGTGTGATTTGGGCTAAATCAGTTTCTCCCTGGGCCTCAGTCCCTTATATATGAAACAGAGGAGTTGACATTGGGTTATGAGTAATAGAACCTCAGTTCTGGTTAGTAAATTTTTCAAAGAAAAAAACATAGTGGTTTATAGAATTGGTAAGTCCGGCGGCTTAAGGCCCAGGTAGATCTGGATTCTCAAACAACTGTCTCTGCCTTTCTGTTCTGCTTCCCTTGGTGGAATCTTTGTACTTGGGCAGCTGTTCCTCTTGTGGTGGCAAAGACAAAATAAGATTTTGTCCTGTTAGCTTGTAGCTTAACAGCCCCCAGGAAAGAGGAGGCCCCGTCTTTTCCAGTACTTCTATCAAAAGTCCCAGGATAGACTCCTATTGGCTTGGGTAGATCCTATGTCCATGCCCAAGTTGGGGTGGACAAGATACATGCCCCAAGTCGGGGTGGACAAGCTGAACCCACCCCTTTATGGACCAGGGCAGAGGAGCAAGGAGCATTAAGTTCTCTCTAAAGGAGAATCCAGATGCTCCCATCAGAACGAGGGCCTGGTGCTGAGCAAACAGGCTGAGCACGCCTGAGATCTCAGCACCCTTTCCGGCTCCTTGATGCCAGGGCCCCATCAGCTCTTTCTGGCTGTTCCACCTCAGTGCTGGGACTCAGGCTTGGGACGGCCTGTGGGATGACCCATTATCCCCTCTGCTCTCCAGATGCTGGCCAAGCATGTCATCACTCTGCACGTGAGCGCACTGACACAGACACAGGCTGTGGAGGGCGAGATTGACCTGGCCAAGCTGAAGAAGTTTATTGCCTACTGCCGAGTGTGAGTCCTGGACGCAGGCCCACGGGGGTGAGGTTGCCCAGCTTCCCTGGGTGGGAGAGAACCCAGTCCCCTGGTCCTGCTCCTCCTCATGAAGAACAGCCCAGATGTTGCTGTTCTGAGGTTCTCAGCTCTACTGAATCTGCTCTGCTCCCTTCTAACCTTGCGTAGCTCACTGGCTCTTGGCTTCAGTTTTCCCACCTCCACACCAAGGAGGTGGGATTTAGATGGTCTTGAAGACCTCCTCGAGTCTGACATGCAGGGAGGCAGTGAAGTGTAGACATGGTAGACATGGGCTCTGGGTCATACCTGCCTTCACTCTATGACTTTGGGCAAGTTGGTTGGCCTCTCTGAGCCTTGATTTCCCCAGGCCTATCGATGTTTGCTAGGATTTTTGTAAGGATTGCACAAGATGATGAGTAAGTGCTTGGCATAGCCCTGCCCTGGGTAAATACTCAGTGAGTCGCAGCTGCAATTTGATTGTTCTCACAGATTTTCAATAATAATAATTATATACATAGTACTGGCTGGTTGCAGTGGCTCACGCTGTAATCCCAGCACTTTGGGAGGCGGAGGCAGGTGGATCACTTGAGGTCAGGAGTGCGAGACCAGCCTGGCCAACGTGGCGAAACCCCATGTCTACTAAAAATACAAAAATTAGCCGGGTGTGGTGGTGCACACCTATAGTCCCAGCTACTCAGGAGGCTGAGGCAGGAGAATTGCTTGAACCCAGGAGGCAGAGATTGCAGTGAGCTGAGATCGTGCCATTGCACTTCAGCCTGGGCAACAGAGTGAGACTCTGTCTCAAAAAAAAAAAATATATATATATGTGTACACACACACACACACACACACACTCACTCTTACACACTACTTTCTTTGTGCCAGGCATTCTGAATTACTATTCAGTATTTTCTATATGAATAAATTATAACCCTCCCCCAAAACCTACCAGGTAAGGTGTGCTATTATTCCCTTCCCTTTATGGATGGGGAAGCTGAGGCAAAGGAAGTTAAGTAACTTGCCCAAGGTCACATGCCAGAGGTAGTGGAGCCAGGATGTGAACCCAGCTGCTTGCCTCCAGAGGCTGTGCTCTTAACCACAGTGCTTCGATTCTTGTCGTACAGCGCTTTGGTGATCTTTTGAAGGAGCTAAAACCCAGGGGTTGAGGGCTCTTTGAATGCACTACCAGTGGGGGGCTGGTGGGTCCCTGATTCAGCACCTCTGCCAGGGTGAGTGGGTAGTCCCTGGGTCTTCATCCAAGTCTGAGCTCTGTGTGGCCCAGTCTTGAGAGGCTTGGGCCCACAGCTGTGAGTCAGGGAGCCCTGGATTCTAATCTTCCCTCTGCACTAAGTCCCCAGGTAGCCTTGGGGAGTTCCCTCCCTCCCTCTGGGTCTCAGTCTCCACATCCTTAGGATGGTTGAGCTAAGGCTTTCCCTACATCAGTGACTGTCAGTTGGCCTGGGGGCTAGAGGGGAGGGGATGGGATAGGGTAGATGCTGATCAGACTTCCCCACACCTACCGTCCCAGGAGAGTCTGAGGTGCTCCCAGCCCCTGGACTGCAGTCACCGCCAAGCCTCCTGTGGGTGTCATCAGCTTGTCGTGTCTTCAGATGTGTTGGGTGGAGGAGTTTGAGACTGCTGCAAAGCCCACCACCCAGTGGGCCTCCATGCCGCTGTGATTGTGCCATTGTTCATTACATGTATGGGGGACCTTGTGGCAAGACACCACACAGCGTCTAACAGTGGGGAAGAGGCGGTTTTCACCCTGCAGACGTGCCTGGCTTTTCTTCACCTGTTTTTTAAGAGAGGCACCCATATTTCTCCCCAGTGTTGATGTTTGTGGCAGCTGCCCACAGCCAGATTTCACTTAAATCTTTTCCGATTGTTGTCCCCCAGCCCATATGAGTGGGCAGCTGTGGTGTGGTGGGAAAGTGCATGTCTGTAAGCTGGCAGGGGGCTGGGGGAAAGGGTAGGTGCCCTAAGAGTCCCTCCTGGCCTCACACCAGCCTCTCCCCACTGTCCTGCAGGAAGTGTGGCCCCCGGCTGTCAGCAGAGGCTGCAGAGAAACTGAAGAACCGCTACATCATCATGCGGAGCGGGGCCCGTCAGCACGAGAGGGACAGTGACCGCCGCTCCAGCATCCCCATCACTGTGCGGTGAGCAGGCGGGCAGGGCTGGGCCATGGCAGATGGGGCTTGCTTTACACAGCAGGGTGTGCTTGGCAACCAGGGGCAGTGGTCCAGGCTTTTCACTTGGCACAGGCCCATAGTAGCTCTGGGCAGGAAGAGTCCCTTTGGAGCATAAACTATGGCCTCCTTGATCTCAATGATGATCCATGTTTCTTGATTTAAGGCCGGGCAAACCTAGACCCCTCTTGTCTGAATTTGGCCTGGCTTCTCCCATTGTAGGAAGCCCGAAGGGAGGGAAGGACCCAGGCCTGGGAGTCAAGAGTCTTGGGTCCCAGCCTCTAGCCCACTGTGTGACTGTAGGGAAATTACATTCCTTCTCTGGCCCTCAGTGCTTTTAGCTCCTAACTCTGTTCATTCTTGTGACTTTGTAGACAATACAGTGGGTAAGAGTTGGGATTTACCTGGTTTGAATCCTGTCTCCAGCACTGACTGGTTGGAAATGGATTTGGCTATAAGTAATGGTAAATCCAGATAAAGTAGCTTAAAGAAATAGGAAGTTCATTTCTCTTTTCTGTAGCACTGTCTGGAGGAAGATGGTATGGGGACTGGTGTGAGGACTCCTCAAGCTCCCCCTTACTCTTAGTCCGAGATGGCCGCTAGAACTTCAGCCATCACCTCCAGGCAGCAGGACAGGAAGGAAAGAGAGCTTCCCTTTTAAAGGACACTTCATGAAGTCCCACACAATGCTTGGACTTACAACTTACTGCCATAGATTGGTCACACAAATACAACCTGGTACAAAAGATGTCTGGGATGTGTTTTAGTGGATCGCTGTGTGCCAGACTAAAAACTGGGGTTCCAAGCTAGGTGCAGTGGCCTACATTGTGATCCTAGCACTTTGGGAGGCTGAGGCAGGAGGATTACTTGAGGCCAGGAGTTTGAGACCAGCCTGGGCAACATAGCAAGACTCCCATTTCTACAAAAAATAAAAAATTAGCCAGGCATTGTGGTGCATGCCTGTAGACCCAGCTCCTCAGGTGGCTGAGGTGGAAGGATCACTGGAGCCCAGGAGTTCGAGGCTGCAGTGAGCTATGATCATGCCACTACATTCCAGCCTGGTCCACAGAGCGAGACTTTGTCTCAAAAAAAAAAAAAAAAAAAAAAAATTGCAGTTCTATGACTAAGATCAAAAGGGAGATGGATTATGGGGACACCTAGCAGTCTCCACCACAGTCTTACCACTTTGGGCAAGCACCTCCCTGGTAACGGGCTGGCTGGGGAGGAAGGGAATAGCGGACCGAGGCTACCCTGAGCACGCTGTTGCCCCCACAGGCAGCTGGAGGCCATTGTGCGCATCGCGGAAGCCCTCAGCAAGATGAAGCTGCAGCCCTTCGCCACAGAGGCAGATGTGGAGGAGGCCCTGCGGCTCTTCCAAGTGTCCACGTTGGATGCTGCCTTGTCCGGTACCCTGTCAGGTGAGCAGATGCAGGGGCCATGGTCTCAATTGATCTGGGTTCCCTGGCTCGGAGCTCTGTGGGCAGGGCTCTGGCCTGCTGGGGGCCTGCAGTGTGTGTCTTGCTTCTCTGAGTTTGCTGAGCTTCTCTGAGTTTCTTTTTGCCATAAGACCCCTCTCCTCCTTTCTCCCCACCGCTGTTTCCTCCAAGATGGGAAGAAGCAGCTTCTCTCCAGACCCTTGAACACAATCCTCTTGACCCAGGTCATTGATGATAACCCTTCTCACTGGCTAGGAACAACAGTTGATGCTCTGCTTCCTAGAGCTTGTCAGCATTTTCAGTGCTTCCAGAGTTATTTCTTGCATTTTGCCTTACAGCTGCCCCCTGGAAGCCAGGTGAGCAGTCAGTCCTGCCCATGTTAGAAATGAGACAGCTGACACTCGAAGGGGCCTTTCCCTGGTGCCCAAGATCACAGTCGCTTGGCTGGAATGCAAGTCTCCTGGCCCCTAGGCCAGCGTTTTCCACACCATAAGCCATACTGTCTGGTTTCGGTCAGCCTTTCAACAGACTGTCCCAGGCACCGATCATGAGCCAGGCTACCTACGCTGGGGAAAATCTGTTCCTTCACCCAGCAGATACTTCATTAGTGTTACTGTTTGCCAGGCACTGTTCTAGGTGCTGGGAGTATAAGAGCAATCAATCACAGGGTCCCGGCCCTCCTGGGTTCTCATTCTCGTTCTAGTTGGGGAGAGATAGACAGTAGAGAAACAAATGCAGGTAGTGTAGGTAGTGAAAAAGGCAGTGAGGGAGATGATGGCAGGGCCAGGTGTGTTGGAAAAGGAGGACGTGCTCTTTCCCATGGAGTGAGTGGGCATGGCCTCTGCAAGGAGGTGATGCCAAGCAGGGAGCTGCATGAAGGGGACAGTGTGGCTCCTTGGGGGAAGAGCTGCTCAGGTGGAGGCAGCGCTAAGTGTCAGTTTCCCCAGGAGGGAGCAGGTTTGGTGCATTTGAATGGGGAGGCACTTGGGTGAGGAATGGGGTGGGTGGGGCCTGTTCCTCCTGTCCCCCTTGGTGAAGACTCAGCCTCTACCCTGGAGACACTTGCTGTCACATGAGACATTGCAGGTGGAGGCCTCTGGGATGCTGCAGGCACAGAGGGCAGGGGTGATATGGAGTGGTGATAATTTGAGTTGGGTCTTATGGGCTATGTAGGAGTTTGCCTCACAGACTCCCCTCTCAATGACTTCTTGACCATGAGCCCACCATCTCCTTAGCTGAAACACCAAGGCCTCTGTGGCAGTAATTGGAAGTCACGAGCCTCCTGGTTGCCGAGGGCTCCTCAGGGCACCTCGTAGATGTGTCCAGGGCAGGCTGGCTTCCCTCCTGGGTCACTGATGGGCCCCTTCCAACTCTCTCTCTAATCTATCTGCTCCAGCAACAAAAGGAGTCCTGCTGTGGCCTCCAAGGGCCCGCAGGACTTGGTCCCTAGTGACACTCTGGCCATGTCTCTGCTGCGCTGGGCCCCGGGCTGCTTTTTGAATGAGACAGGTGTGTTCCTGCCTCTGTGACTTTGTGCTTGGCCTGGAGTGTCCCCACATGTGCCATATCCTGTCTCCTCAATCAGGCCTGCACCACCCTGGCACACTCGGTGCCCTTTTCTGACTTACTCTTCGGGGCCTGGCTCAGGCTGTTCTTCCTTGGGCTAGAGGCTGTCTCTGTCCAAGAACTCCCATTGTCCCAGCTCCCCGGCTGCCTCACTTCTCCATGCCCACAGGGGTGGAGGGCTTCACCAGCCAGGAGGACCAGGAGATGCTGAGCCGCATCGAGAAGCAGCTCAAGCGCCGCTTTGCCATTGGCTCCCAGGTGTCTGAGCACAGCATCATCAAGGACTTCACCAAGCAGGTGAGCCTGCCTTGGAGTGGGGGTGTGAGCCGGCACGGGGTGCAGGTCTTCTGCTGGTTCCCACCCACTCAGCACTGGCATCTTACTCAGCAGACAGGCCCTGAACGGGGGTAGGATGGACAACTGTCCCTTTCTCAGACCTTTTCTAGCCATCATTCCTTCCCTAGGGACATCTTCATCAGGAGCAGGGATGGGGGTATTTTTTCTGTCCCACGAAGGGGAGGGGAGAGCAGAGGTGGTTGGATTCTGGTGAAACCCCATACAAGTTCCCCGCAGCCCTTCCCGTCTGTGCCTTTCCCCGTTGGCGGGCGTTTCATGGAGTGGGAAGGGGCAGAGCCATGAGAGTGAGCTTTCTGGCTCACTGAGGAGGGTACTGTTGGCCCCATAGAGAGAAGATGGGATTTCCCAGATGCTCTGGAAAACCTGTCACCTTTAAAATCTCAGGATTAATCCTAGTTTCTGGTCTCCGCTCCTTGTACATCATCTCATTTTGATTCAGGGCAGTTTAATGGGTGGTATCGTGTCTATTCTATAGGTGCGCAGACTGAGGCTTAGAGAAAGGTTTAGAGCTTCGGTTCTAGAGTCAGATGGGACTTAAGTCCCAGCTCTACCTCTTAATTGCTGTGACCTTGAGCAAGTGGCTTAGCCTCCGTGTGCCTCAGTGTCTGGTACACAGTGGGCACTCAGGAAGTGTGGGCCCTTTAGGTCAAAGGAGCCTGAGTACAAAGTTCCCCGTGAGCCTGGGGATGTCTGGGCTCTGTCGGAGTCCCCTCGGGCAGCACGTGCCGTTAGCCAGCCATGTGCTCCCACAGAAATACCCGGAGCACGCCATCCACAAGGTGCTGCAGCTCATGCTGCGGCGCGGCGAGATCCAGCATCGCATGCAGCGCAAGGTTCTCTACCGCCTCAAGTGAGTCGCGCCGCCTCACTGGACTCATGGACTCGCCCACGCCTCGCCCCTCCTGCCGCTGCCTGCCATTGACAATGTTGCTGGGACCTCTGCCTCCCCACTGCAGCCCTCGAACTTCCCAGGCACCCTCCTTTCTGCCCCAGAGGAAGGAGCTGTAGTGTCCTGCTGCCTCTGGGCGCCCGCCTCTAGCGCGGTTCTGGGAAGTGTGCTTTTGGCATCCGTTAATAATAAAGCCACGGTGTGTTCAGGTATCTGTGGGTTTGTGCACTCGGTGACCTGTCACCTCCATCGTGCCCTCATGGCAGGGTAAGTGTGAGGGAACAGGGTCTGGAGGCAGACTGGCCAGGGTTTCTGACTTGGATCTGCCACTCAGACTTCTGGGTAAGTCACGTGACTTGAGTGCTCCGGTTTCTTCATCTGTTTAGCGGGGCTCATAAAGCCACTCCCTTGATGCTGGGAATCCAGTGAGACCAGGGAGTGGGGAAGCGCTTCTCAAAGTGTGTGATTTTGATCCGCCTCACCTGTTCCCCAGTAACTTATTGGGGGGCTGCGAGCCGTGGTGCGGCGGTCAGACTGCCTGGATTCATGGACCCTCTCCATGCCTTAGTTTCCTTATCTGTAAGCAGGCTGATACTAGAACCTGCTTCACAGGGTTGTGCTTAGGGTCAGTGAGCAGCTGTTAGTGAGGGGAATGTAGTGGCCACCAGGCAGGAACTAGGACTCCAGCCAGTTCTTTCCTGGTGGGCCACGTGTAACTGTGTGGCCTTGGGCGAGACATTTCACTTTTCTGTGCCTGAGTTTATCAGTAAACTGGAGATGGGGGGATTCCTCACCCTGAGTTGTGAGGATTGAATGACAGAAGGCACTAGTGACAGTGATGCTGGAGGAAGGAGTGTTGCCAAGTGCCTCGGTCACTTTGCCTAATTTCAGAAAGTCACTCTGAGTTGGTATGTTTTGTGTTTTTAAAAAAGCTAGGATTCATAAAATTAAATAGAAATCAGTGAAATAAAATATTTGATATTTAAAATACATTTAGAAATACAAAGTGTCAAGCAAAACGTGAATTTGGAAATCTATGGAACATTAGATAAGGTATTTAAAAGTAATTGCCATGTAAAAATGACACGAACTTGAAGTAAGATTATTTGATTTTTCTAAAAATACAAGAAAGCTTGGTGCATCCGCCTGGTCATTGTTGAATCACAAATGTATTTTTGTGCAGAAGATTCCTGCAGCTCAAAGCCCTTTCTGATTCCATACTGTTCGGGGAAATGGAGAGATGAGAGGAGCTAAATCAGCTTTCCTCTGACTCACTCCCGTTCAAAGCTCATTTCTTTTCTGATAATTTTGAGAGTGTCTGGAACAGCTTTTGTTTTCTTGGTGGGGTGGCAACCTTACTGGGCGCGCTGTGGGTTTTGCATCCAAGGCTGCATCTCCGGTTCCTGCTAGCCTTTCATCTTGCTCAGGTGGGGACTCGCGTGCATCTCAGGCCCAAGGTCCTCCCGTCCTGCTTGTTCATGGAGTGTGGAACTCTCATGAGGTTCACCCTGCAGTGGCAACTTTGCTGGTGGCCTTTTCTCCACCCCTGTGGTGGGTGGTGCTGCTGTGGTCACCTCTGTTTTACAGGTGGAGAAACTGAGGCTCAGAGAGTCAAGTGTCACAGTGAGGGAGTGCAGGGCAGGCTTCAAACCTGGTGGCTCCGAACTCCACCCATGTCACCTTTTCTGCCAGATTCTCTCTTGGCAGTCCCTGACCTCGGCCTGAGTGGGATGCTGGGCAGAGACAGTCCTGGCCTGGGGGAGGCAGGTGCCAGTCAGGTGGGGGAGACTGACCCTGGGGTAGGTTCCCAGGGGTAGGTGGCCTGACTGGCAGGCACAGGACTGAGAGGCCAAAGGGGGTCCGACTGGCTTTTCCGTGGTAGTTGGGGTAGGGCTCATAGGAGGAGCAGCTGTGCTCAGAGCATGCCAGTCTCCTTCCAGATCGGGGCAGCAGCATGAAGAGAGGCCCCTGAGCCAGGGAAACACCTGCTTGTTGGGGAAAGCAAAGGCTGAGGAGAGAGCCTGAAGGGAGGCCAGGAGAGGGGAGCATTCAGGCTGAGTAATAGTTGGGGCTCGGCTTAGTGGAATCTCCAGTCAGGCCTCAGTGACACCTAGAGAGGCAGGGAGGTGGGGCAAGGGGGGGAGCTGGATTCCCGAGCTGGTGCTGCCACTCAGGGTGGCTGAGCTCTTCACTCACCTGTGACCTGGCTCCCTTAGGCTTGTCTTCTCAGATCTGTCCCTACCCTCACCAGCTACAGGCCGCGACCCAGCGGACATTTCTCTCTGCTGAGCAAATCACTTCACCCCTCAGCCTCCTTTCATCTGTAGAAAGGGCACAGCAGTACAGTAGCCCTTTCACCCAGGGGTGGCTGTGAGGATTAACTGAGGGGGTAGACATCAGAGCAGCTGGGCCTGGCCCCGGGGAGGTGCTCCCAGGAAGGGCTGGGTGCCTGTGGTTTTCCCTGCCTCACAGCCTCTGCCATCTCGGATTTCACCTTTTCATGCTTTTGTGTGAGCAGAGGCCGAGCCTCTGCTGCTGTGTTCCCTGCCCCACTCTACTCCTGGCTGCATGGGTCTCTCAACTTCGCTCACCACTATGAGAGCCGCTCCACCCCTTCTCCAGTTCCAGGTCTGGGAAGGAGAGAGCAGACAAGCTTGCTCATGATGGAGTCCTTTTACCTGGTTTCTCTCTCTGTTCACAGATACCACCTCTGTTGATCTGGGAACTAAGACCATGTTGCTTGTCCTTAGTCACATATGACTTAATTTGCACCCATTGTGGGCCACTGGTGTCAGACAGGAAGCCTAAGCGCAGGTATCACTGAGGAGGATACACATGCTAACTACACGATCTTCACCAGACCTGTGAGCTTCCAGCCACCAGATCCAAAGTCACAGAGCACAGGGACTTACAAACCCAGTGCTGGAAAACATAGCAAAGGCTATATCCAATTTAGGTTTCTCTTTATTGGAAATAAAGATGGCCCATACTTCAAATATGTTATTTAGAGAATGCTTATAAAGAGCAGCCTAAAGTCCCATTCTCTTGCCTGTAAGCAACAAAATTACAAAAATGTTGAATTTCTAAAATGCGAAAGTTAAGCATTCCAGAGACCAGCTCATGGAAGAAGGTTTTATGTTTTTGGGTGTTGTAACTATTATCCATATGTATTTAAACATGAATACGTCTGTTTGGTATTTAACACATTTTTTTTTTTTTTGGCTTTCAAGGCCTTTATTTTTTTATTTTTATTTTTTTCCCTTTTTTAATTTATTATACTTGTTTTTGGGGTACATGTGCAGAACGTAAAGTTTTGTTACATGGGTATACACATGCCATGGTGGTTTGCTGCACCCATCAACCCGTCATCTACATTAGGTATTTCTTCTAATGTTATCCCTCCCTAGCCCCCCACCCCCCACAAATGTTTAATTAGGAGTGTCAAGTCTGGATGAACCAAGGTAGATATTTATTTTAAGACATTATGGTGAGGCCAAAGAGTACATTAAAATGGTTTTAATTTGTTTTTATAGATCAAAAACAAGCATTTTTTATTAAAAATATGAGGCAGTAAAGCACAGTGGTTAAGAACATGGACTTGGGGCCAGGTGTGGTAGCTCATTCCTGTAATCCCAGCACTTTAGGAGGCTGAGGCAGGAGAATCACTTGAGGCCAGGAGTTCAAGACTAGCCTGGGCAACATAGTGAGACCCCCATCGCTCTCTCTCTCTCTTTTTTTTTTTTTTTTTGAGACCAAGTCTCACTCTGTTGTCCAGGCTGGAGTGCATTGGCGCGATCTCGGCTCACTGCAACCTCCGCCTCCCAGGATCAAGCGATTCTCCTGCCTCAGCCTCCTGAGTAGCTGGGATTACAGGTGCCCACCACCACACCCAGCTAATTTTTTGTATTTTTAGTAGAGATGGGGTTTCACCATGTTGGCTAGGCTGGTTTCAAACTCCTGAACTCAAGTGATCTGCCCACCTTGGCCTCCCAAAGTGGTGGGATTACAGGTGTGAGCCACTGCACCTGGCCTATTTTATTATTTTTTTAGAGATGGGGGTGGTTCTCACTGTGTTGCCCATGCTGGTCTGGAACTCCTGGGCTCAATCGATCCTCCTGCCTCGGCCTCCCAAAGTTCTTAGATTACAGGTGTGAGCCACTGCACCAGCCAGGATTAAAGGAGTTAACAGCCCCAAAGCACTCAGAACACCACCAGGCCCAGGGTAAAGGCTTTTTCAGTGTTCCATATGTAAACTATCTACATATGTAGATAGTTTTTTACATACGTAAAAAACCTACTATTGACGTATGTAAACCTACACACATTGGCTTGCTCTAACAGAAGGGCTGTGTTGTAAGGTAGTAAGCTCCCTGTTTCTGCACGTGGTCAGGTAGAGGCAACCCAGCATCTGTTGGCGGGCTTGGTCTTCCAGGTCAGGGAGACTTCTCCCCGGCTCCTACTCAGGGCTCACCACCACCTATTTCATACTTACTAGTTGTTTTAGAGACAGGGTTTCTCTGTATTGTCTGGTCTGGAATCCTCCAGCTCTGGTTATTCACAGGCATAGTCACAGTGCACTACAGCCTTGAACTCCTGACCTCAAGCGATCCTACTGCCTCGACCTCCCAAGTAGCTGGGACTACAGGCGCATGCCAGTATTCCCAGTTCTTTTCTTTGACCTTTTTTTTTTTTTTTTTTTTTTTTTTTCTTTTTTGAGGCGGAATTTTGCTCTGTTCCCAGGCTGGAGTGTAGTATCATGATCTCAGCTCCCTGCAACCTCCGCCTCCCAGGTTCAAGCAATTCTCCTGCCTCAGCCTCCCAAGTAGCTGGGATTACAGGTGCCTGCCACCATGCTTGGCTAATTTTTGTATTTTTAGTAGAGACAAGATTTCACCATGTTGGCCAGGCTGGTCTTGATCTCCTGACCTCAGGTGATCCACCTGCCTCGGCCTCCCAAAGTTCTGGGATTATAGGCATGAGCCACCGTGCCCGGCCAAATCTTTTTGAAATGCTAGGTCCTAAGGTTATTATCTCCAAATTACAGATGAGAAATTGAGGCTACAAGACTTTGAGGAAATGACTCAATGTCTCAGAGGCAGAAGTGAAGGATCTGGGTGAGCCACCAAGGGTCGTCTTCTTAGGAGATATTATTGCCTTCAAGATTTCAAGATTGATTGTTCCGGGCTCTGAGATTCTAGAATTCTCTCCTGCCATTCCTCCTCACCCCTCCTGCCCTTGTTTTTTGTTCTTCCTTTTTTTTTTAAGATGGAGTCTTGCTCTGTCACCCAGGCTGGAGTGCAGTGGCTTGCTCTCTTGGCTCACTGCAACCTCCACCTCCTGGTTCAAGCAATTCTCCTGCCCCAGGCTCCCGAGTAGCTGGGACTACAGGCGCGCGCCACTGTAGCTGGCTAATTTTTGTATTTTTAGTAGAGATGGGGTTTCACCATGTTGGCTAGGCTGGTGTCAAACTCCTGGCCTCAGGTGATCCGCCCACCTCAGCCTCAAAAAGTGCAGGCCTGTGCCACCGTGCCCAGCCATTTTTTGTTCTTCCTTAGAGAACCAGCTCAGCCTAGTGCTTCTCAGCCAGTAGGCCTCATTCTAGAGCAAGACTTCTGGGCTCCATGCTCAATAGCTGTGGAATATATTACCCTCTCCAAATCTCAGTTTCCGTGTCTGTAAAATGGGTCGGGCTTTTCTGGTGTTAACACCGAAAGTCTTGCATCCCAGGAGCCCCTTCAGCCCTAGGCACACCCGTTGGTCACCCTAAAAATGGGGGGAATAAAAGCCCATCTGGAAGAGTTGTGGTCAGGTTGGGCTGAACAGCGTTCACTGGTATTGAGCATGGTACCTTTCAGGGGCCTGCAGAGAATGGGAGAGAAAATTACTGCTCCTTACACAGGGTGACGGAGTCCATGGCCTGAGTGTGACACCTAATGCCACCACTTCCAGCTGTGTGCCCTGAGTTCAGTTTATCTTCCTGGGTCTCTGTTCCCCCAGATGTTAAGAGGATTGATAATAGTGTGGGCTGAGTATAGTGAGAGTATAGGAAGATACAGTGAAATAACAAGAGCTTTGCCAGGAAGTGGGCACCTGGTGCCCGCTGGGCAGGAGTGCCTGTAGTTAATCATTATGTGTCTCAAAAGGTGTCAAAAGCTTCTGAACACTTAATGCTGTGTTTTGGGCCTGGAGCCCCAAAACCAGCCAGTGGGGACTTTTTTTTTTTTTTTTGAGATGGAGTCTCGCTCTGTCGCCCAGGCTAGAGTGTGCAGTGGTGCGACCTCAGCTCACTGCAACCTCCGCCTGCCAGTTTCAAGCAATTCTTCTGCCTCAGCCTCCCGAGTAGCTGGGACTACAGGCGCGTGCCACCATGCCTGGCTAATTTTGTTTTGTTTTGTATTTTTAGTAGAGATGGGGTTTCACCATGCTAGCCAGTCTGGTCTGGAACTCCTGACCTCCTGATCCACCTGCCTCGGCCTCCCAAAGTCCTGGGATTACAGGCGTGAGCCACTGTACCCAGCCTTTTTTTTTTTTTTCAGTCGTATTTCCATGCAGGACACAGAAGGACCAGTGGGGACTCTTACCTTGTCTCTAGCTTTGGTCTTTTTAAAAAAAATAACCCTGAATAATCAGGAGAATTTTTTTGATGAATGAGGGCACTCCTCTCCAGCTGTCCCAGGGGTGCGAGGAGAACAGTGTCCATGAGGGGGCGCCAGAGCACCAGGCCCGGGGCTGCAGCCTCCCGCACCCACCCGGCCTGGCCTGCAGGGCCAGCTCTCCAGGCGCTCCCAGGGACTTCCCGGCCTCCTACCCTGGGAATCTGGAAACTCCCTGGCTCAGACTCAGCAGCCCAGACGCTGCCTGGAGGATCCTCTGGTTCTGGGCATTCACCACTGGCTTTGTTTGGACAAAGGCTCTGCTGCGTGACAGATCCTGGGGGATGCCTGAGTTATCGTTATCATGCTCCAGCGGAAGTGGGTATCCTCGTCCTGGGTTACACACCAGGAAACTGAGGCACAGAAATGCACGGAGCCGGGGTCCAAACCCACGGATGCCCAACCCCCGAATCTTTGCCAGCAGTCTCTGAGAATCAGTCTGGATCTCAGAATGATTGTAATAATCTTGGAGGCTTAGAAGGCTAGACTCTTAGAAATATTCAGTTCAAATATACACGTGTATTATTTTTTGTATGGGTAGCGCATGGGTGAAAAGACAAAAGTAAAACCAGTCCCCCTTCTCTCTGACCGTCCCCAGCCACCCTGGAGGTGACCACAGTGATAGTTTCTCGGGTCTTGTCTCCTCCTGATATAGGACTCATCAAATCTTAGAATTAGATGGGATTTCTGGGTGACTCGGTCTCTGGAACCCATCAGCTTCTAGCACGCAGCCCTAAGGTTCCCACTGCCATCCCTGTCAAACTCAAACTCATGGGTGAGTTTGAGGATCTTGGCTCCTGGAACCCCCCAGCTTCAGGCCCAGCTACTCCTTTAGAGTTGAAGGGGCTGTTTTCTCCAGCGACCCAGACTTCAGTTCCCTCTGTGCCTCTCCTCCTCCAGGGGGCCCTCCTTCCAGAAACACCCTGCCTGCTTCTGGTGGTATAATAGAGGACACTCAGCATGGCACCCTCTCACTTTATGCCTGGTGATGGGCCTGATCTGTCGGGTCAGTGCCTTTCCCCAGAAGGAACGTGGTGGCATTTGTTGATTCATCCGTTTGTGTCATGGAGATAATGACCGTACCTACAATAAAGGGCGAGGTGAGCATTAAATGCATGAATGTATGCAGAGCTCTTAGACTAGTGCCTGTTACATTCTCTATGGGTTTCTATTATTATTGATACTTTTAGTTCATTCAGCTAAATTTACCAAGCATTCACAGGTTTCCGGGACACTGGGAATACAGAGAACAAAGCATGTTTCTTCCTGCTTGGGGGAGAAAGATCCAGAAAGAACGTCAGCGCCAGCATGAAGAGCCTTGTGAGAAAGAACAAGTGCTCTGTGATATTTCAAGAGATGGGACCCCATGGAGGCCTGGTGTGTGGGTACCGGGGTGGCCTTGTGCTTTGAGATGAAGCCAGGGGGTCTAGCGGGGAGTACAGGTGGCAGGCAGGCATCAGTTACATAAGCGCCTCACCCTGGGAGCTCAAGTACTGTGTGACGGTTCTGTTCACGGCCCCCACACAGAACGTGCTCCTTGTCAGTAGAGCAGAGCAGGGAGGAGAAGCACCAGAGAGCTGCTGCGTGGAGTCTGGAAGTATCTCCTCCAACTTCCTTGGGGAGGAAAGCAAGGGCCCAGACTCTTAACACCAGCCCATGTAGTCAGGTGAATAATTCCCAGTCACTATCTAGTCCCTGGCCCTGGCCATCTGCTCAGCCCCTTCGGCAACTCCAGCCTGGTCCAGCCTCATCTGGCTCTGTGTGTGTGTGTGCGGGGGGGTGGTGGGTGAGAGGCTGGAGGAGAGTGGAGGGGGTTGGGGATTGGGGCCAGGCAGCGCTGTGTGAGGCTAGAGATGGGAGGTCCTAGAGGGAGACCAGGAAATCAGGCACTCAGGAGAGCTGGGAGGGTAAAAGTTGCTGGGGGCAGGTGTCTCGGGGGCAGATGGTGGAGCCCAGGTGAACCCCCTAGGTTGTCTCTGTCCCATCATCCTTGATCCTCTTTGTTTTTTGAGACAGGGTCTCACAATGTTGCTCAGGCTGGAGTGCAGTAGTGCAGTCATGGCCCATTGCACCCTCAACCTTGTGGGCTCAAGGGATCCTCTCACCTCAGCTCCTGGAGTAGCTGGGACTACAGGCATGCACCACCATGTCTGGCTTATTTCTTAATTTTCTTGTAGAGACAGGGTCTTGCTATATTGCCCAGGCTAGCCTCAAGCTTGAGGGCTCAAAGTGATCTTCCTGCCTCCACCTCCTAAGTGTTGAGACTATAGGTATGAGCCACTGGGCCTGGCCCCTTGATTCCCTTTGCATGATAGAACTTCAACCCTTGGAGCCCCAGAGGATCCAGGCAGTATCAAGTCACCATCCATGTTATAGATGAGACCATGTATAACATCACCATCTTTAACACCACCATCCAGCCTTCAGATGAGATCACAGCCCTGACTGCAACCTCTCTGACCACAGCTCAGAGAGGGCATGTGGCATGCTCACAAACAGTCTGTTAGGGGCTTCCCCTGGGTCAGAACTCAGACCCCTCGGCTCTTAGTCCAATGCTCCTCTCCTAACCCAGGTTGCCTTTGGGGACCTTGGGGGGGTCTCTCATTTCATTGGGAATGCCTAATGGCATTGGTTGCCACGTGTTGCCATTGTTGGTGTATGTAAGTCGCTCTTCTGTCCTCATATCCCCACTCTGTCGTCCTGCCCCTTCTTGGGGGTGGATCCTGCAGGAGAGGGGGAAGCAGCCAAGCAAGGCTTCATTTCTACTTTTCCATCTGCAGGACCCAGGGCTGGGCACATTTGGTGCAACAGGCTGGAAATATTCTCCCCTACCCCACCCTCCCCATCCCTCCTCAGAGGCACTGGGCCGGGGACTGGAGCCTGTGGTGAGGTCCTTCCCCTCAAGCCCTGTCGGGGGCAGCCACTAAATGGCCCCAAGATCCCATGGACTCAAGGGATTCCATGTGGCATCCCTTCCCGTGCTGCAGAGGCTGGGAAACTTAACCACATTTCCAGACTCTCTTGCAGCTAGTGTTTCTGATGGCATGGAAATCCTGCCATTGAATGCAAACGCACAAGACTAGAATTTGGAACTGAGTTTCGTGGGGAGAGAGGCAGGGCATGGAGCATCCAAGCATCCATTTTGCTGTGTGGATGGTGGTAGAGTGCAGGCCTAATGCTGGAGCTGGCAGTTGTAATGGTGGCTTCTGAATTCCACAGCTTCTTGATGGAGGCAGGAGCCCTGGCATCTTAGCCCAGTTCAGCAGCGTTTTAGGCAGCTTTCCTGGATGCTCAGACACTTAGTAATAATATGCTTGAAAAAAAAAAGCCCTTTTTTTCCCTACTAGCTGGAATGGATTCCGTTGTCTGTCACTGAACCCTGATGATACATCTTCTACACACTGTGTGGGACAAGGCCCCATGGAAGTCCCAAGTCAGTAACCTGAACTCCCCACCCTCTCTGCCAAGAAAGAGCTTTTTTCTCTCAGTATCCATTTATCGGTCCCAGGGGAGCTCTCTGATTGGCTGTGCTTGGGCCAGTCATTATCTCCTGGACCAATCACAGTGGCCAGAGAGATGAGATGCCAAGATCAATTGGTCAGGTCCAGATCATTTCCTGCTTTTGTGACCAGGCGGGAAAGGGCCTATCTCCAGAAGTGGGATGAGAAAGCTTGGGCATTCCTACCACAGCCTGTCTGACAACACCTTTACCCCACAAGGAGGAACTATTAGTGAATGCCACACGGGACACTGCTGTAATGAAACACTGAGGACAGGAGATTATGACAAGAGTCCCACAGTTCCTGCTCATGGGTGATCATGCCTGTTCACCACTAATAGCCTGGGAAGGACGCACAACTGTCCCCATCTTTACCCCGACAATGCTTTGGGTGGGAGGGGGAAACTGAGGCACAGAGGAATGAGGAGGCAGGGCGCGGTGGCTCACGCCTGTAATCCCAGCACTTTGGAAGGTCGAGGTGGGTGGATCACTTGAGGTCAGGAGTTCAAGACCAGCCTGGCCAACGTGGCAAAACCCCATCTCTACTAAAATACAAAAATTAGCTGGGTATGGTGGCAGGTGCCTGTAGTCCCAGTTACTCAGGAGGCTGAGGCAGGAGAATTGCTTGAACCCGGGAGGTGGAGGTTGCAGTGAGCTGGGATAGCACCACTACACTCCAGCCTGGGCGACAGAGCAAGACTCCATCTCAAACAAACAAAAAGGAATGAGGAGGAGGCTGGGAGGCAGGGAGAGAGATGGGAGTTTGAATACAGGCCTCCCAATTTGCTGTGCATTGCTGGACCTGGAGGCAGACAGACCTGAGCTGTGTGTGACCCTGGTGAGGACCTCTGTCTCAGAACCCCAGGGGTCCAGTGTGCAGAGTGACAATGACCCTGGCTGTCTCTCAGGGCCGCGGTGGGGCCTCGATGGGGACTTGGTGGGACAGCATGTGCATGTGTGAAGACACCAGAGGCTCCTCCTGGTGCTGGTGGGACTTGATTCCTCAGGGAGGGGAGGAAGAAGGTGGTGGCCACCGGGCCTTTCAGTGAGGAGGCTTCTGCAGAACAACTCCCCCGTTGCTATGGTGACCAGACTCTCGGGGAGTCTGGCTTATTTTTGAACTTGGTCTACACAGCAGCAGCTTTGTTCCCGGGTCTTCCTGCTGCAGCCTTTGTCCTGTGGGCTTGTCGCCTGAAGCCTTGGCACAGTGGGTCTGAGTGGGACACAACCCTGGCCAGGAGGGGCAGGCAGAGGGAGGGGGAGACCCAGTAGGCACCCCCTGCCAGCCTCCCTAACTTGGCCTTGGAGGCGGAGGCCTGGGTTCTAGTCCTGCATCTGCTGCAGGCCTGCTGGGCAACCTCTCGGGCATGTCTGCTTGAGAGGGAAAAGGAGAGGGTATTTTTTGCTGTGCTTCCCCCAGTTGAATGAAAATGGAAGGAAATGGCCGGGCGCGGTGGCTCACGCCTGTAATCCCAGCACTTTGGGAGGCCGAGGCGGGCGGATCACCTGAGGTCGGGAGTTCAAGACCAGCCTGATCAACATGGAGAAACCCCATCTCTACTAACAATACAAAAATTAGCTGGGCATGGTGGTGCATGCCTGTAATCCCAGCTACTCGGGAGGCTGAGGCAGGAGAATCGCTTGAACCTGGGAAGCAGAGGTTGTGAACTGAGATCGCACCACTGCACTCCAGCCTGGGCAACAAGAGCAAAACTCAGTCTCAAAAAAAAAAAAAAAAAAAGAAAAAAAGAAAATGGAGGGAAAATGGCTAGCCCCGATGGGTCCAAGATGGTGTTTGGGACCCCTGCCCTCCCCGGCCTGGATCCAGCTCTTAACAGCCTCCCCACCCACAGACCGCATGGGCCCCAGAGGCTTCATGCTCCTGCTTCTCTGACCTTCCGCAGCTTCCAGGCCTCGCCACTACCTCCACACGCTGTTACATGTGACAGCATCCAGGCTTGGAGTTCAGCCCCTTCCTCAGTTTCCACCAAAGCCCTCTCTTATGTGCAAGGCTTTATTGAAAGCTGGGCAGAAGGGGCACCTGGGGGCTTCACGTTTTCTATGAGGGGGCCCTGCTGTTTCTACTCCTTTGCCAGCGCCCACTGCACCCTGCACATCTCATGGGCCGGGGCTTCTGGCCTTTTTCCATCTCCCTGGCTTCGTGCCCTCTCCCCCTCAATTCCCCCCTTCACTCTTGTGCAGAGCTGCTCAGCTCTCCCCAGCCCTGGCTTTCTGCCCCTGCATCACCTTCCCATGTCCAAACCCATTGGGGCAGGGCCACAGGCCATTCTGGGTCAGGACCCTGTCCTAGGAAGGCAGCCTGGCTGTAATCATATCCCCACCCGACCTTCACAAACAAATGAGAAGGGGCTGGCAAAGTGCCCTTGGGATTATGGGGTGGGTAGAAAAGACGTTTATCTGTGGGCCTAGAAACCCAAGCTTTGCCAGGGGGAGAGTCAGTTCGCAGATGAGGATGGAAGGGTGACTTCACAAAGCCAGATGGAGAGGGGTCCCAAGACTCAGCCTCGCGTCACTAGGGCCACCTCCTTCAGAGGACATGAGGAGGCCATTGGCCTGGATCCTCCAGAAATTTCTCTGAACACAGCCACAAACTTCTGACTTCTGGGCAGGTGATCAGTTGACACCTGCATGCAGAACAGCCCCAGGAGGATGCTGGGCTCTCCTCCCCTCCCCCTTACAGGAAGTGCCCATGGCTGGGAATTGACCAGGGCTTAGGCCTAGGGAATGGGCAGTGCCCCGAACATACTGGGTTTCTTTGGTCATGTGACTGGACTGGCCAATCAGAATGCCCCATCCCCTGGCCTAAGGATTGGCTCCTGGTGGGCAGGTGACTCAGGCTGGGCCAATCAGTCTTTGAGATTTGATTCATGGACACCAAAAGAGAGAGGTTCTCTCACTTTCTACAGGATTGTGGGGTGGCATAACAAGAGTTGGGTGGGCCAGCAGCCATCATCATGCCATGTAGACAGAGCCTACGTGGGAATGAAACTGATACACTGAGGAAACAGCTGAGAGATGGAATGACAGCCTTGAGAATCTTTGAACCCCTGGATCCAGCTAAGCCTGAAGGCAGTTCTGCTTTGTGAATTTCTTTGTATGTCTGCAAATAGATTTCCTTTCAGTTAGGGTGGGTCGGGCTCCTGACCTTGTAACTGAAAGGTTCCTGACTATCAGAGAGGAGATGAAAGAGGGAAAGAAGACGGGTTACAGAAAGGGCCATACCTAGCCATGAGTCGGGGTGTCACAACTGAGGCCCTGGGGACCTTTTAGTCCCTTATCTCCAAATCTGACCAATTGTGAGAGTCACCTGGGTAGCCTGTTAAAAACTGATGCTGGTTTAATGGGTCTGAGGCCTGGGCATCTGCATTTTCACAAGCTTCCCAGAGGATTCTGATACCAGCCAGGTTGGAAAGTGTCAATCTAGTCCTATTTTTTCACATTTTAGTGAGGGAGACAGGCCCAGAGGAGAAGGGGAGTGACTAGTCCCAGGACACACAGCAAGTTAGTGGTAATGTTTGGCCTGTCGTTTCCCCTTGTCCTCTTCATCTCCCTATTCACCAAGCGAGGGCAAGGAAGGGAAAGGGTAAAGATCTTCCAGGCAGAAGGACCCAGGCACGGACCATTGTCTCTTAGGAAACCCCATCCCTACCTTTCAGACAGATGCCAAAGGGGTATGTGTAAATAACCCTGCTCTTAGCCTGGGAACTGCTGCTTGTCTGACTTCCATCCATTCATCCATCCACCCACATGCATATCCATCCATCCACCCACCCACCCACATATTCATCCACCCACCCACCCACCCACCCACATATTCATCCGTCCATCCACCCACTCACCTATTCATCCGTTCATCCGTCCATCTATCCATCCATCCATCCATCCACTCACCCACCCACATATTTATCCATCCATTCATCCATCCATCCATCCACCCACCCACATATTCATCCATCCATCCATCCATCCACATATTCATCCATCCATCCACATATTCATCCATCCATCCACATATCCATCCATCCATCCATCCATCCATCCATCCATCTATGCATCCATCCATCTACATATTCATCCATCCATCCACTCACATATTCATCCATCCATCCATCCATCCATCCATCCATCCATGCATCCACCCACCCACATATTCATCCATCCATCCACCCACATATTCATCCATCCATCCATCCGTCCATCCACATATTCACCCATCCATCCATCCATCCACCCACCCACATATTCATCCATCCATCCATCCATCCATCCACATATTCATCCATTCACCCATCCATTCATCCATCTACCCACCCACATATTCATCCATCCATCCATCCATCCATCCATCCATCCGTCCATCCACATATTCATCCATTCACCCATCCACCCACATATCCATCCATCCATCCATCCATCCATCCATCCATCTACATATCCATCCATCCACTCACATATTCATCCATCCATCCATCCATTCATCCATCCATGCATCCACCCACCCACATATTCATCCATCCATCTACCCACATATTCATCCATCCATCCATCCATCCATCCACATATTCATCCATCCATTCATCCGTCCACCCACCCACATATTCATCCATCCATCCATCCATCCATCCACATATTCATCCATTCACCCATCCACCCACATATCCATCCATCCATCCACTCACATATTCATCCATCCATCCATTCATCCATCCACTCACCCGCCCATCCACCCACAAATTCATCCATCCATTCATCCATCCATCCAAATATTCATCCATCCATCCACCCACCCACATATTTATCCATCCAATCATCCATCCATCCATCTACCTGCATATTCATCCATCCAACCACCCACCCATCCATCCATCTACCCACATATTCATTCATCCATCCATTCACCCACATATTCATCCATCTATCCATACATCCACCCACCCACCCACCCACCCACATATTCATTCATCCATCCACCCACATATTAATCCATTCACCCATCCATCCACTCACCCACATATTCATCCATCCATCCACCCGCCCACATATTCATCCATTCATCCACCCACATGTCCATCCATCCATCCAACAAATACTGAACACAATGTGTAGCAGGGACAAACTAGTTAATGTAACATACTTAGGTTATCTTCTTCCCTCCTTTCCTCCCTCCCTGCCTTTTAGGGAAGAACACTCCTTCCACCCCCACTCTGTCTTTTAGGGAAGAACACTAAACTTGGAATTGGAAGTCTTATGTTCTAATGCTTCCTCTATCACTTACTAACTCTGTGAAGTTGGGCATTTAATTTTTCTAAACATCTCTGAACCCCATTTTCCCCATCTGAAAAGTGGGAATGCTAATACTTTGCAAGACTGTTGTAGAGATGCAACCAAATAGTGTGCAGGCCTGGCATGGTGCCCAAAGCAGAGTGGGCACACGCAGTGTTGGCTGCACCCACCTTCCTTATACATTGATTGCAGAACATAGAAATGAACCTGAGAAGAACGTGAAAGTGAACCTGAAAAGAAAGGAAGAAATAAAAAAAATCATCTAGAATCCCAGCAGTTTCCTTAAGTTGCCTACTGTCAATTTTCCATTTCTCTCGTCCAAATTCACATGGAGACATCATTTTTACACACTTGTAATCAATTGTAGGCGGAGTCTGGGGTCCTAGCACTTCCCCTAACATCATCTCATGATACTTAGACTTTAAAAGAACCCTTGAGTAGGCCCTGTGATAAAGGATGTTAGTGAAAAAAATAATGAGAAACAGGGACTTGGCTTAGAGAAAGAAGCCTGCGTCAGATCAGTAGGCCCCCCTGGGGCTGTGGAAGCATGCAGAAGGTCCCTTAGGAAGTGATGTTGGAAATGGCCTTGGGCCAGCCACGTTATTTCTCTGGACCTCAGGTCACCCATCTCTGAAATGGGAGCATTGAACTGGCTGATCCCTGAAGCCCCTTGAGGCTCTGGGGTTCTAGGGAGTATGTGACCCCTGAACTGCCTGGAATATCTTAGGTATGCCAGGTGCTACAGGGGTTGAGAGGGGAGGAGGTACGGACCCTGCCTTCCATGTCCTTACAGTCATCTTGGGGCCATAAATTCAGGCCAGAAAACCCATTCAAGGACAGGATATAAGGAAGAACAGTATAGCATTCTACTGCAGCAATGCAAACTCCATTTGACCCTAATCCTGGCCCAGTTGGCCAGAGTGGAACTTGTGCTTCCAGAGGATCCGAGGAAGGCAGGGGCTGGTCTGGAGGCAGGCATGCATCTTCTTTGCCTCAGTGTCCCCAGAGTCCAGTAAAAAGTAAGATCCTGCCTGGGTGTGGTGGCTCGCACTTGTAATCCCAGCACTTTGTGAGGCCAAGGAGGGCCAATCACCTGAGGTCAGGAGTTCAAGACCAACCTGACCAACATGGAGAAACCCCGTCTTTACTAAAAAAACAAAATTAGCCGGGTGTGGTGGCGCATGCCTGTAGTCCCAGCTACTCGGGAGTCTGAGGCAGGAGAATCGCTTGAACCCGGGAGGCGGAGGTTGCGGTGAGCTGAGATCACACCATTGCACTACAGCCTGGGCAATAAGAGTGAAACTCTGTCAAAAAAAAAAAAAAAAAAAAGTAAGATCCCAGTGACCGTATGGTGAAGGGACCTTGCGTCCAAGGTGGGCCCTGCGCAGGAATGTGCGGGGAAAGGGGTTTGTGCAGAAGAGTCTGGAAAGCTTCCTCTGGGAGAGGCTGGAGAAGGGACTGGGCTGCAAAGCCCAGGGGACATGACCACTGTCTCCATCAGAGTTACAGGATGCTATATGGAAGATGGATTAGATGTGTGCTGGTGGCCCTAGGGGCAGGGCTGGGGCCAGAGGGAGGAGTGAGCTAAGGGTGGGCTCAGCTCAGGGAGGACAATCTCGCACTCATGGGCTCTTGGTTTGGGGACCAGAACAGCAGATGCTTGCAGGCTCTCTGGGTGCCCCCCCACCACCTCTACAGGCGCTGTGCTGAGTACTCTTCTATGTCAGTACCTATTATCCCTCACACAGCCCCATAGAGTAGGTGATTCCCTTGTGCTTATTTTACAGGTGTGGAAACAGGCACAGGCTAAGTCACATATTGGGAAGTGGAGTGAGTGGGATTGGAACCCAGGCAGTGGGTGTCCTGGCAGTGGGGGTATATGGGCAGAGGTGAGGGATGGAAGGGCAGAGGAGGACTGGGCAAGGTGATTCCTGAGGCCCTGTGGCTTCAGTGGCTTATCAGGGAAGGCTCCCTGGAAGAGGTGCCCTTCAGCTGAACCTTGAAGGCTGGGAAGGATCGATGGAGAGGAGCAGCAAGGGTGTCCCAGGCCAGGGAAGGAAAAAGCACAAAAGGCCTAGAGGTGGAATGTGGCATGGGTGTGAAGGTGAGGCCAGGACGAGTTGGCATGGCTAGAACTGCCTAAAGGAGATCCAAAGCCACAAGCCGGGCCTCTTGATCCGGTTCAGAGGCCCCTTCCCATTGGCCAGCCTGCGTGTTGCAACAGCATCCCACGGGTCCCTCCCTCTGTCCTTCCAGTCTCCCCTGTTCCCTTTCAGCTCCTCACCAATCTGGTCGAATCTAAATCTGATCGAGCTACTCCCTGCTCAGGAAACTCCCGTGGCTCCCCATTGCCCAAGGAGAAAGTCCACGCTCCCCTGCTTGGCGTTGTTTCCCGGCTGTCCTGTCCTTCACCCCCTGGCCCCACCTGACACCCCATGCCACCCGTGTATATTATACTCCAGTGCCAGCGGAAGGCCCACCACCCCCAGACACACCACTCACTTGCTGCCTGCCTGCTTGCGTGGTGGGTTCCTCCGTCTGCGCTTCTCTCTCTGCTCTTCGGCCTAGGGGGCCGACATCCATGGATGGAGAAGTGTGGCTACTAAAAAAGAAAAAAAAAAAAACATCACAAACTCAGTGGCTTAAAATAGCACACATTTATTCTCTTATGTTTCTATTCTCTTACGGTTCTGGAGGTCAGAAGTTCAAAATCAGCCTCACCGGGCTACAGTCAAAGTATGAAAGTGCAGGCAGGGCTGGTTCTTCCTGGAAGCTCTGGGGAGAATCAGTTTCCTCGCCTTTGCCAGCTTCCAGAGGCTGCCACATTGCTTAGCTCGGGGCCTCTAAGCCCGTCTTCAAAGCCAGCACCCTCCGATTCCCTCCCACCCTCTGGACCTGTCACCATCTCTCCTTTCTCTGGCTCTGCCTCCTGCCTCCTTCTTTAATGACTGTGATTACATTGGGCTCATCCTGATAATCCCCAAATAATCTCCCCATCTTAATTTGATCTCATCTGCACCTTTGCCATGGAAGGCGCCGTGTTCACAGGTTTCAGGGATTTGTCCATGAACATCTTTCCAGGCCACTACTCTGCCCCTGACAGGAGGCATCAGTGGGCTCTGTTTGTTTCCCATTGGGTTTGCCATGGAAACATTGGAGATTGGACAGTGGCAGGAGGATAAAGTGAGGGTACGTGTCCTTGGCCCCCTTCTCACGGGGTCCTAGCTCCTGCCCTGGCCTTTGGGTCCCCCTTCACAGCTCTGGAAACTGCATCCTCCTCTGGGCAGCCATGGAGATGGCTTTTGCTTTTCAGCCTGAGGACCACACTCTCCCTCTCAGCACTCCTGAGCCCAGCCCCGCACCTTCCTCGCCATTCCTCATTAAACTGCCACTCATTCGATTGCCACATGAGCATGAGTGAGGCGAGCAAGGTGCCCAAGGTGCAAAAAAATTTTTTTTACATGGAATCTCGATCTGTCACCCAGGCTGGAGTGCAGTGGCGTGATCTCAGCTCACTGCAACTTCCGCCTCCCAGGTTCAAGTGATTCTCCTACCTCACCCTCCCCAGTAGCTGGGAATACAGATGTGCACCACCACGCCTGGCTAATTTTTTTTAATTTTTAGTAGAGACAGCATTTTGCCATGTTGGCCAGGCTGGTCTCAAACTCCTGGCCTCAAGCGATCCTTCCCCCTCGGCCTCCTAAAGTGCTGGGATTACAGACATGAGCCAACATGTCTGGCGTCAAGGTGCAAAATTTGTGCAAGGGTTTCCTCTCAGGGCCACGCCAGTGCTGCGCCTGCCTCACCCTGGTCTGGCCTGTGAATCTTTTCCTGCCTGAACCTGCTCACACCCTTGGGCTGTGCCTTCTGCCTGGACTTCTCCCTCACCTTTCCACCTTTCCAAATGCAGCCTGCTTGGACCACCTTCTGGTAACAGTTCCTCCACTTCCAGCCCTGCAGCCTCCTGCACAGTGGGGGCCCAGAGGGGATGCTCTTGTGTATTCCAGTCTGCCAGGTGCTTGCACTTGTTTGTGGCTCTGCCTCCCGCACTGCATGTGAATTCCTCCTTCAGGATGGTGCCCCTTGAGCCCAGTGCAGGCCTCGGAGGGGGCCGTGGGCCGTAGACTTGGAGGGTAAGGAGCCAGAACACATGGTTTGAATCCCTGCCCTGCTGTTACTGGGTCTGTGATCTTGGGCAATTTACTTGGCCTCTCTATGCCTCAGTTTCCTTATCTGTAAAATGGGAGCAGGGATAGTTCCTGCCTTTTGTCATGGCTTTGATGATTAAGTGAGATGATGCTACAAAGGAAGAGCCTTGTGCCTGGCAGACAGTAAAGGCTCAATCCATGTTAGCATTGGTGCTGTGGTCATATGAGGGACTCAGGAAAGGTTGACTGAATTTATTAGAACTGACAGGCAGGAGAGAGAGAGAGAGAGAAGAGAACAGAGAAAAGAGAGAGGAAAGGGGAGGAGGGAGAGAGGGAGAGGAGAGGAAGTGGGGAGGAATTAATGGGTGAGAGAGGTGGAGAGAGGGGGGCTTGAGGCTGAGGAGTGAAGGCTGCCAGGTAATTCAAGGGGGAAGCAGAGAGAGAGCAGAGGGCGTTAGGCAGGGTCTGTGGACTTGAGTGAGAGCTGTTCCATCACCAGGTGCTGTCTGCAGCCAGCTGCTCTCAAAATAGCTGCCCTGCTGGGGCTGGGGCTGATGGAGGAGCAGGGCAGGGAACCCCATCTGGGCACATCCTGGATCCCTCCTGGGCTGTCGCGGCCCAGAGCTTGGCGAGGAGCCCCTGTGGCCTGTGACTCGTGGTTGAGATGGGGATTTGGAGGTCCCTCCTGTGGGGTCTGTGTGCGTGGTGGGCAGGGGTAGGGGAAGCTGCCCTGCTGGCCTGGGTCTGGGAGTATGCTGAAGACAGGCAGGTAATGGCCGTGATAATAATGATGACGTTTATGGCAGTGATAAGCATCATCATCCAAAATGAGGCAGAGGCCAGGCACAGGGGCTCATGCCTATAATTCCACTGCTTTGGGAGGCGGAGGTGGGAGGATTGCTTGAGGCCAGGCATTTGAGACCAGCCTGGGCGATGTAGCAAGACCCTGTCTATAGAAAAAATTTAGAAAATGAGGCAGATGCAGCAAAGTTGCCCACGCATGCTCCCCTCTCCTTCTTCCTCTCTAAAGAATGCCAGTTATGCTCATGCAGCCCAGTGAACGCACTCACCTCCCAGACTCCTCTGCGGCCAGAGCGACCCTGTGACCTGCTTCTGGCCAATGAGATGGAGGTGGAAGCTCACCAGGTGGACATTCTATTTGGAAACCGAGAGCTGGGCTGTCCAGAAAGAACATAGACTGTGGGGTCACACCAGCCTGGGGTTGCTCCCCAGCTCTGCCATTTCCTAGCCATGGGAACTTCCTGAGTCTCAGTTGTCTCATCTGTGAAATGGGAATAAGCGTGACCTCACAGGTGGACACACCTGAGGGCAGCTGCTCCTGACACGGACCCTGGCATGTTTCAGAATCCTAATGGGCTTTCTGGGCCATTAAGGGAAAGTGTAACCTGTGTTAGATGCATTTGACTATGCTTTTTTTTTTTTTTTTTTTTTGAGACGGAGTCTCATTCTGTTGCCCAGACTGGAGTGCAGTGGCTCGATCTCGGCTCACTACAACCTCTACCTCCTGGGTTCAAGTGATTCTCCTGTCTCAGCCTCCTGAGTAGCTGGAATTATAGGCATGCACCACCACACCCAGCTAATTTTTGTATTTTTGTATTTTTTTTTTTTTTTTGAGATGGAGTTTCACTCTGTTGCTCAGGCTGGAGTGCAGTGGCGCGATCTCAGCTCACTGCAAGCTCTGCCTCCTGGGTTCACGCCATTCTCATGCCTCAGCCTCCTGAGTAGCTGGGACTACAGGCACCCACCACCATGCCTGGCTAATTTTTTGTATTTTTAGTAGAGATAGGGTTTCACCATGTTGGCCAGGATGGTCTTGATCTCCTGACCTCAGGTGATCGGCCCTCCTTGGCCTCCAAAAGTGCTGGGATTACAGGCATGAGCCACCACACTCGGCCCTGCATTTGACTATGCTTTGAAGATGTTTTAGCATTTGGTCCAATTCAGCTGAGTAGATAACTTTTCCTGATACCCGATACTCAGAAAATTGGAGTGACCTCCCAGATGGTACTTCTCAGTCGGGTCATACTGCAACCTGTGTTCTTTGAGGTCAGCAACACTGCATCTGGTTTATCTCCACATCTTTCTGCTTAGCCCAGTGCTTGACACATAGTGGGCATTTGCGCCCATATTTACAGAGTGAGTGGATTGGTCTCTATCTGTTCAGCAAGTGCTTCTCTGTGCCAGGCTCTGTACTGAGTGCTGGAACAAATCATCCCAATGAAAAAACTCAGCATAATGATGGATGAGGCTCTGTGTGTTCTCCTCTGGTAGGCATATCCGAATTTAACAGGAAGTAACGTCTTGAGCAGAAGGAACAAAGCAGCCCTAATAAGGGTATGTCAGGGTGTTGCGGGGAGAGGTGTCCCTGCCATGATCCTATGAAAGTGGGTCATTAGAACAAGGCCCTGGCTGGAACATTCTAGCACTGGGATTCCCCACAGAGGAAGCCAAGTGTCCAGGTGTAAATGAAAGGGAAGCCCTCTCTCCTGACTCTAGCACTGTCTCTCACACCAGCCATATGTAAGACTTTGTCTAGTACCCCCATCGCTGTACCTCCAGCACACAGAGCTGCTGCGCACCCTGGAAGTGAATGAGCGAGTGGACGAGCAGATGACTCAGAGGCCAGCTCACAGTCTCGTGGGCGAGGCAGACAAGAAACAACCAAGCAGAATGCCCCCAGTGAGCACTACGGCATGTGGAGGGGAACAACCGGGGCGCCTGCAGGAGGGAGTGGCTGCCCGTCCGCAGTGGGAGGAAGGAGTGAGGAATGGAAGCCTCCCTCAACTCTGCCCGCAGAATTTTCCAGATTGGCTTCTCCTCTAGTCCTGGACTCACCGCACCCCCTCACCTTCATATTTCTCTCATCTCGGTTCCCTGAGCATCTTCATCACCCAAATCCTTTCTGAGAGTCTTTTCTGAATGGGGGGGTTTGTTCTAGAGATTCTAGTTCCCTCCGCAGAGACAAGTGCTCCGGTCACCAGTGTCCTGCCCCAACTGCCCAGGTGGGTCACGAGGCCCCTGCATGAGCCAAGCCCTCCGGGGGCCTCAGCATCACCTGTACCCTAAGGCATCAGTCTGCTCTGCCCCGACTCCGGGCAGCGGTCCGCGCTTCTCTAGGACAGAACCAGCTCAGGGACGGCAGCTAGAAGACCAGGGGTTCAGCCCCAAGGCTGGTCCTGCTGGCCCTTCCTGGCCGAGGGCGTGCAGCATCAGCCTCGGGCTTCCCGGCTCTGGGTGGGAAACCTGCGTCCCTCTCGGTGTTGCTGTGAGGATTCGACATGAAGCTGTGTGGGAAAGTGCTTTGTAAACTGCAAAGGGTGGAACAGATGGGAGTGTTACTCTCTGCGCTCCTTCCCCGACGGGTTTGGGGGTTCCCAGCCCACATGAGGGTTCTGCTGCCTGCACAAGAGCCCCTTGTTCCTTCTGGGTTTGAGTGACACATGGCTTAGCGATGCCCGAGATTGTATCTGTAAGGAGTCCTCTCTCATTCCTGGGAGAAGGGTGTGGGGCTTATGGACTTTTTGTTGTTGTTATTTTATTTATGTATTTATGTATTTATTTATTTATTTATTTTTGAGACAGAGTCGTATTCTGTTGCCCAGGCTGGAGTGCAGTGGCACGATCTTGGCTCACTGCAGCCTCTGCCTCCAGGGTGCAAGGGATTCTCCTGCCTCAGCCTCCCGAGTAGCTGGGACTATGCACACACATCACCATGCCCGTAATCTATTTTTAGTAGAGACAGGGTGTCACCATGTTGGCCGGGCTGGTCTCGGACTCCTGACCTCAAGTGATCGGCCTGTCTCCGCCTCCCAAAGTGCTGGGATTACAGGTGTGAGCCACCACACCTGGCCAGCTCATTAACTCTTAAGGAGGAAACCGTCCACAGCCTTCGGGTTGGGGCAGGCAAGGAGCGGGGCTGGGAGAGACCGGGCAGCAGCGTGCTCTTGTGAAGCTGCTTTATGCCCTTAGCCCCCTCAGTCTTCACAGATCCTGCCTCCCCGAGTCCACTCAGGGAAACGGGGCCCCTGGGGCCTGGCATTGTGCCCAAAAAAATCCAGGGGAATGACCCAGCAGGTTTGATAAAACTACAAGAAACAACAACGCCCTTTCCCTGGTTTCTCCCCAGGTGGGGAACTGTCCCCTCCTCCCACACATGCGGTGTCTCATGTCTGCTGATGTTTACTCTGAAAATGAGACCGGAAACAAGGGCTTGGGGGAGGAGTCAGCATGAGGACCTCAGGGCCGGACTCTCTATGTCTCAGTTTCCTCTTCTAGAAAATAAGAATGATCAAAGCGCCTGCCTCGTACAGTGGTCATGAGGATCGAACGAAGAGAGCTATGTGGAGAGCCTGGCCTACGGGAAGGCGAAGTTGGCTTTAGCTATGTCTTCGTCTCTGCTCATTCTGGGGTCCCAGCCTCCTTTGTCTCCCTCTGGACCGTGGTGGGAGCTTCCCCACTGGCCCCCTCTGCAGAGTCCTCCCCACTGCCATCCCTCCCCTCTTCCAGCAGCTGGAGTCATCTTCCCAACCACATGCCAGACCCTCCACTCCTGCTAAACGCCCCACAAAACATCATCGTATTCGTCATTCACTCACTCAGCACACATCTGAAGTTCCGCAGTGCCCCAGGCCGGGCATCAGACCCCGAGGATGCAATGGGGAATGAGACAGACAAGGGTCCTGGCTCTCCAGGAGCATGCATCCAGCCTGGTGTGGGAGAAGACAGCGATGAGGAGACAGAGGGAACTGAGGGAGGTGTTAAGTGCTGGGCATTGGTCATCTATTATCATAATAATGCCACAAACGAACACCCTCCAGGTTTAGTGGCTTCAAACAACACGCATTATTCTCACTCTGAAGGCTGTCTGTTGAGTGGGGATCAACAGATGGAGTGACTAGACCGGGCTTAGCTCCAGGGCTGCTTCCTGGGCCTCTCATCCATGGACCACTGGGCCACCTGGGACTTGTTTGTCCCATGGTGGTGGCAGACGGGCAAGAAGTGAATGGGGACCTGTAATGCCCAGCACTGGGACACTCACTTCTGCCCACATTCCATTGGCCAAAGCAAGCCTCATGGTCAAGTCCAGCATCAGTGTGGTGGGAAAGGACACCCTGCCTCTGGTGGGAGATGAGGCAAAGCCACAGGAGGAAAGGGGGGTTGTCAGCAGGGCAGGTTGAAGAACTAGGAGCAGGAAAGCAACCCGTATGGGCTTTGCAGGAAACCGAGGGTACTGAGATGAGGACTCCCTGAGGCGTCTGCTTCTCAGGGCTGGTCAGGGTTGGCTTCTCTGAGCCGCTGTCACTCAGGCCTAGAACTGAAGGAGGAGGAGAGCCAGCCATACAGTCAGGGAAGAACGTTCTAGGCAAGCACAGAAACGAAGCAGAAATGAATCGCTGTGTCTTTGGAACTGACAGAGGCCCAGGCTCCTTGCCCCTATCGTGTCTCTGCACTTAAGTCCATGCTGAGTACCCCAGCTATGGCCTCTCTGTCCCAGCCATGGCCTCTCTGTCCCTGCTGTGGCTTCTCTGCCCCAGCCATGGCCTCTTTTTCCCAGTTGCGGCTTCTCTGTTCCAGCTGTGGCCTCTCTGCCCAGCCGTGGCTTCTCTGTCCTGATTGTGGCCGCTGTGTCCCAACCGTGGCCTCTTTGTCCCAGCTGTGGCCTCTCTGTCCCAGCCGTGGCCCCTCTGTCCCAGCCGTGGTCTTTCTGCCCCTGCTGTGGCCTCTGTGCCCCCGCCCATGCTGACATGTGGCAGTTTTCCGGCACCTTGCTCTGTCCTATTACTGGCTTTGGCTATGCTCTATGCTCTGCCTGGAAAGCCCTTCCTCTTTCTTGGGCCAAATCCTACTCATCCTAAGATTTATATTTTTATTCTTATTTTTTTTAGAGACAGGGTCTCACTCTGTCTCCCAGGCTGGAGTTCAGTGACACAATCACTGTTCACTGCAGCCTCAACCTCTTGGGCTGAAGTGGACCTCCTGCCTCAGCCACTGGAGTAGCTGGGGCTACAGGTGTGCACCACCATGCCCAGCTAATTAAAAATCTTTTTTTGTAAAGATGGGGTCCTGCTATGTTGCCCAGGCTGGTCTCAAACTTCTGGCCTCAAGCAATCCTCCTGCCTCAGCCTCCCACAGTACTGGGATGGTTGGGCCTTGGGCTGAGAAGGAGACAGGGAAGGGTGCTATAGGAGCTGTGTGATCCTAGGTGAGCTGTCTGACCTCTCAGATTTGTTCTCATCAACAGAATGGGGATAATGGAATCTGCCTCCTGGGACTGTCACGAGAATTAGATGAGGGATTTTGGAAAGAACATGGCCCACGGTTGAGTTCCGGAGAGGCTGCTTCCTCTCTGGGCGACCTTATTCCACTTCTCTGATCTTGAGTTTCCCAATCTGCAGAACAGGGGGAAGGAAAACTGCCCCCGGGACTGCTGGCATTAAATGAGATCGTGCCTAGAAAGCCCTCGCAGGAAGACCCCCTCCAGGGTCACACACCTCTCTCTTTCCCTCCCCTGTCCCTTTCCCTCTCCCCTCCTGGGACAGACTCCAGGGGAGGAAGCGCTGTCTCTAAGTGGGTGAGGACTCGCCCAGACTCGCCCGCCTGACTCCGCCTGGTTTCTACGTTGCCACCCTTTTGCCACCAAATGGCCACCTTCAGGGTTGGCCCTTTCACTCCCACTGGAGAATCCAACCGGAGCCACAGTCACTGACCAGGGACTTCTGAAGACAGGAGGAGCATCGAATGAGAAGATCCAACCAACAACCCGGTCCCCACGGCAACACGTTGACACTGGTCCTCTCCACCTGAGGCCTCGTCTGGGGCTCCCTACATCTTCAGAAGTGGTTCTACTTTTATGCCCCATTTGTCAATGAGGAAAGAGTTGGGAATCCAGAGAAAAACCCGGGTCCATCTGACTCCAAAACCAGCACTCTGTCCGCTCACGCTTTTCCATGTCAGAGGGCTGTGTGTGTTGAGGAGGGGTCTACCCACTCCTTCATCCCCCAAGCCCTCAGGAAACAAAGAGAGTCCAGCACATAACAAGTGCTCAAGTGGTTGTAGATGAGCAAGGGAATGAATGATGGACAAGCAAGTGAATGAATGAATGCACTTGTGGAGTCCTGCTGTCCTTTCTTTCCCGGAAACTCCCTCTTTCCCCTCCATGCTCTACCCCAAATGGTGTTCACCTCACCCACCATTGCCCCATCCATCCTCCCCTCTCTGCAGCCACCTTGGGCCAACAATAGATGGGACTCCTCCCATCACCTACAGCCCACTTGCAACCTCAGGATGCTTTGATGGGGTTGCCTTGGCAACTGTAAGTTTCCAATTGAAGCAAAAAGTTCCTACCAGGGTTTTCGATGAAGAATGACGGGAGAACCAGCAGAGAAGGTTGCCCAGGCAACGGGAACATTTAAGTCAAACTTTGCGGGTCTCAGTGTGGGGAGATTATCCTCAGCAAGGCGAAGAGATCGGCCCCCTTGCCAGGCGGCTCTGCCAACGCAAGCTGCGCGTTCATGGAGATGGGGGAGGCCCCCAGCCTAACCTCAGCCGGCCGGTTGTTTCTGACAATTATTGATCTGCCATCTCCAGAGTTCTCTGACTCATGACAAGCCCCAGACGGGCCTCGAGCCTGGCAGTGTCTCCAGGTCGACCAGGTGACTCGAGAGGGGGCTTTGTGCCCTCATTTATCTCTGTGCCGGACCCAGGGGTTGGGTTTCTCTCAGTTACTGCCTCACTTTGCCCCTGTCTTTGTTAACTCGTCTGTCCTTTGTCCCCCTGCAGAAGCAGACATGGGCCCTCAGCATATGATGTCAGCGGCTCTGGCGCCCAGCTTTGTTAGCAGCGGTTCCTGAGTGGGTAAAAAGGATGAGCCCCTCTCTCTAGGGAGAAGGAAGGGAGCATGAGAGGCGGGGAAGCCCTGAGGCCTGCGGGTGGTAAGGAAAGCAGCTGGGATCTGACAGACAAGGCTGATTCCAGGGAATCCAGGCCCTGTGGCTTCTGCAGGGGACTGAGACCCCCTGGGGCAAGATCCCCTTTCAGGTGCCTGATCCTGCAGGGTGATGGGGTGGGAGGGTCTTAGACGCACCTGGGCCCCCACCTGCCCTGTGCTATCTCAGCCCCTGGCTTCTGCCCTTTTTTCTTCCCTCTCCTGCTCCCCTCATCCATGTGTAAAAACCAGGCACCCAGAAAACGAGTAGGGTGAAACTTGGTGCCTGCCTTTACCTGCAGGGGGCTTGGGCATCACTTGACCTAGGCCTCCAAGACTCTGCCCTCCTCCCTGGTCCTCCAACAGCCTTCAGCTTCGTCCAGCACCCAGCCCTTTGCACCTGTGGAACCCCCTGCCTGGATCACTCCACCCCTCCCCACCCCCACGCAGGCCTCGACCACACCACTTTTCTCCACCCTCTTTATGGCAGATGTCACACCCTGGAACCGTGTGGTGTTTCTGTTGTCTGCCTACAGTAGGACGTAGGCTCCACGCCACAGGGACTCTGGCTTCCTGGTCGGCCACTTTGTGTCTGGAGCATGGAGCCGGGCAGGTGCCCGGCAGATGTGTGTTGAATAAACAGGTGGGTGGCCGCCTCACGTTCCTCCACGGTAAAGTGACGCTAAGGATCATAGTCACCTCTGGGCTACATGAAATACCATGCGGAAACGTCTGGCAGCGGGCAGGGCAGGGCAGGGCACTTCACTTTCTGTACTAGCTGTAAAGTGAGAAAGAAGCCCTTGGCACTGGAAGCCTGGCTTTTCGTTGACTCTGCAGCTCCTGGTTAGCCCTGTGTGTGAGTTTGTGTTAAATAATCAGTCCGACTCCTCCGCTGGGGTGGTGGTGCCAGTGTGGCCAGTTCTTGTGCAAATAGAACATTTTCAAGATAGTTCTGCCACTTGTACAGCACTCTACGTGCTGTAGAGTTCAGCCCTGAGAGAGAGGGACAGGATCCTGTGTGTCCCGTCCGCCTTGCATGTGGGTCTCACCAGCGGCTTCCTTCATGTCACTCTGGAGCACTCTCACCCACCCCGAGAGGAAAGTGCCGCTATCCCTGCTTTGCAGATGAGGAAACTGAGGCTGGGAGGCATGGAGAGGGCTGCTCAGGGTGAAGCTGAGGGCTGAGATGCTATCTGTGCAGCTCAGGGGCAGGGGGAGGGTGACGGCCTCTTGCTGTCTGGGGAAGGGGCTCTCACTGGCCACTTCCTCCCTCCTGGCTTCTGCCCCTCTGTTCCCTGAAGACCTCAGCCTGCCTGTCCATCCTGACACGACACGGGCCTGCCCTCCCTGCAGACACGCAGCCTCCCTGGGTCCAGGCACAGACACTGGGCCTCACAGAGCCTGGACCTGAGTGCTGTCACCTGTTTTATGTCACAAGTCTGTGTTTCCAGACAGGACATCAGAGAGACAGAGGGACAGAGATAGAGAGACAGAGACAACGGGGCTGAGCAAGCGCGTCAGAGACAGGGACAGAAATGGAGACAAAAGACAGAGAAGGAGACACTGACAGAGTGATTCAGAGAGACACAGAGACAGAGACAGGGACAGAGAGATAGAAACAGAGACAGAGAAAGAGACAGAGGGACAGATACAGAGAGACAGAGATGGGGTAGAGCATCAGAGACAGAAAGGGGCAGAGATAGAGACAAGGCAGAGGAGAGAATGACAGAGTGAATCAGAGAGACAGACAGAGATAGAGACATAAATAGAGACAGAGAGATAAAGACAGAGACAGAGGGACAGATATACAGAAACAGAGACAGGGCAGAGCATCAGAGACAGAAAGACAGGGAGAGAGAGAGAGACAAAAGGCAGACAGGGAAGGAGAGAATGACAGAGTGAATCAGAGACAGACAGACAGAGAGGGACAAATATAGGAAGACAGAGATAGAGACAAAAGATATATATATATATATATATAGAGAGAGAGAGAGAGAGAGAGAGAGAGATAGGGAGAGGGAGAGGGAGTGGGTCCTGGGAAAGAGGCAGAATCAGAGATGGATGCAGAGACAGAGATACTTAGGAAGGGGTGTCTGGAGACTTCGGGGGACAAGTCTCCACCTGGCTGCCACCAGCCCGCTCTCCTCTTCCCTCCTCAGCTCTCCCTCCTGTCAGGACAAGCAAAAGCATCAGAGACAGAGACAGACAGAGATAGAGATGAAAGACAGACAGAGTTGGAGACGGCGATAGAGTGAATGAGAGAGAGACGGCAGCATGTGTGAGGTCGGTGCTGGGAGAGGGGTTTCTCCCCTTCTTTCTGCTTCCCTCCTCCTCTCCCCAACGCCTTCCCCTTCACCACCTTCCTGGCTCCCTCTGCTCCCCTTCCAAGTCTGCACGTTCTCTAAGGCTTCACGTTGTCTCCAGGACAGGGTCCTCCTGGAGCTCCTGATGGGTAAATATTTACACCACAGGGGCGTCCTGGGGAAATTTGTTGCCCTCTATTAAACAAACACATGCCACTGAAGAAAAGAGCATCCTCCGAGCACCTCCCTTCTCCCCTCCCCTCTCTCTTCTTTGGGCTGCAGCAGGCGGGGGCAGTAGGAGCTTTCCAGGGGCTCTGATGGGATGGACAAGACTGGACACCAAGGTCTTCATCGGCAAGAGGTTCCTGTGACACAGACATGACACCCCACAGCCTGCAGAAGGTGGACACAGTCAGGAGGGCCCCCCTGGCTTTGAGAGCAGACGGCAGAGTCCCGTGAGGAAATCTTGGCTTAGCCTCTTCCCCACTGTGTGATTTTGGACACCTTCCTTGACCTCTCTGAGCCTCTGACCTTCTGCCGGACAGTGCTGACTTGCAGAGTTGTTGTAAGGTTTGGAGATCATGGATGCAAAATGTCTCCAACTAGCCTAGCACGTGCTGAACATCTGGCTTCTCGGCCTCTGCACTGTGGACATTTGGGCCTGGATAAGTCTCCGTTGTAAGGGGCTTCCCTGTGCTTGCAAAATGTGGAGTAGCACCCCTGGTCTCCACCCACTAGATGCCAGTAGCATCCTTCAGTTGTGACCACCAAACATGTCTCCAGACATTGACAGATGTCCCCAGAGACAAAATTGGCCCTGGTCGAGAACTACTGGAATAATCATAGTTTATAATAATAGTTTATAATAATAATAGATTATTTATAATAATCTCCTCTTCCCTCCTCAGCTCTCCCTCCTGTCAGGACAAGCAAAAGCATCAGAGACAGAGACAGACAGAGATAGAGACAAAAGATAAAAGATAGAGACAAAAGACACAAAAAATAACAGATTATTTATAATAATTATTTATAATAATCTATTATTATTAATAGTAAGAATGATTTTTTTGAGACGGTCTTGCTCTGCCATCCAGGCTGGAGTGCAGTGGTGCAATCATGGCTTACTGCAGCCTTGACCTCCTGGGTTCAAGTGATCCTCCCACCTCAGCCTCCTGAGTAGCTGGGACTATAGGTGTGCACCACCATGCCTGGCTAATTTTGTGAAAATATATATATATATATATATATATATATATATATATATTTTTTTTTTTTTTTTTTTTTTTTTTTTGGTACAGACAGTGTTTTGCCATGTTGCCCAGGCTGATTTCAAACTGCTGGGCTCAAGTGATCCACCCACCTTGGCCTCCCAAAGTTCTGGGACTACAGACATGAGCTACCTATATACCCAGAAGAATAATTTTTTTTTAAGTCCTTAATGAAGACAGTCTGAGCCCTGGGATGCTGGTAACTTATTTATGAAGACAAGGCCCTTCCTATAAGTGATTAGAAATGCAAGGAATGACACTAGGTGTGAGTTGGGATTTTTAATCTGCAGAAGGGAGAACCTGGGGGTCATTAATATCTGTCTTCAGAGTGATTGCGCCACCTCAGCAGCAATGAGAACCATGGGGCTTACATCGTCCTCAGCATCCCTCAGCCCTCCCGACAGACCTAAGAGGTCACGTTGCCATTCGGCTTTTACAGATGAAGAAATCAAGGCTAATGAGTTAGGTGGCTCATCAAAGGACTCAGGCCCCAGATTATTTTGGCAGCTGGTATGGTTTCCTCTGGGTGGGTGTATTAGCTTCTTATCGCTGCTTTAACAAATTACCACCTATTGGCTTAAAAAAAATGAATTTATTATTTTACAATTCTATAGATCAGAAATCTCACACAGATACAGTTGGGCTAGAATCAAGGTGTCTGCAGGGGTGTGGTGCCTCTGGAGCTCTTGAGGAGAATCCATTTTCTTTATTTTATGTTTATGTTTCTTCCTTTTTTCTTTTTTTTTTTTTTAATTTTGAGACAGCCTCACTCTGTCATCTAGGCTGGAATGCAGTGGCACTATCTTGGCTCACTGCAACCTCCGCCTCCTGGGTTCAAGCCATTCTCCTGCCTCAGCCTCCTGAGTAACTGGGATTACAGGCACGCACCACCATGCCTGGCTAATTTTTGTATTTTTTGCAGTGACTGAGTTTTATCATGTTGGTCAGGCTGGTCTCGAACTCCTGACCTCAAGTGATCTGTCTGCCTCAGCCTCCCAAAGTTTTGGGATTACAGGTGTGAGCCACCGCACCCAGCCATTTTATTTTCTTTTTTTAATTTTTTTTTTTGAGACAGAGTTTTGCTCTTGTTGCCCAGGCTGGAGTGCAATGGCGCGATCTTGGCTCCGCCTCCTGGGTTCAAGAAATTCTCCTGTCTCAGCCTCCCGGGTAACTGGGATTATAGGCGCGCAGCACCACGCCCAGCTAATGTTTGTAGTTTCTAGTACAAATGTTCGCCAGGCTGGTCCTGAACTCCTGACCTCAGGTGATCCACCCGCCTCGGCCTCCCAAAATGCTGGGAGTACAGGCGTGAGCCACCGCTCCTGGCTATTTTTTTTTTTTTTTGAGACAGGTTCCTATACGTCGCCCAGGCTGGAGTGCAGTGGCATCAACACGGCTTACTGCAGGCTGGACCCTCCAGACTCAAGTGATCCTCTCACCTCAGCCTCTGCAGTAGCTGGGCCCACAGGCATGTGCCACCACGCCAGGCTAATTTTTGTATTTTTTGTAGAGATGGGGTCTCACTGTGTTGCCCAGGCTGGTCTCAAACTTCTGAGCTCAAACGATTCTCCTGCCTTGGCCTCCCAAAGTGCTGGGATTCTAGGCATGAGCCACCGTGCCTAGCTGAGAATCCGTTTTCTTGTCTTTCCAGCTGCCCGTGCTCCTTGAGTTGTGGCTGCCTGCCATCTTCAGAGCCAGCGATGGCCTGTCAAATCCTTCTCACATCACGTCACTCTGACCTGTCTGCCTCCCTCTTCCACTTTTAAAAGGCCTTGTGCTTCCACTGGGTCCAGGGGAATCCAGGATACCCTCCCTATTTTAAAGCCAGCTGAGGCCAGACACGGTGGCTCACGCCTGTAATCCCACCACTTTGGGAGGCTGAGGTGGGCAGATCACGAGGTCAGGAGATCGAGACCAACCTGGCCAGCGTGGTGAAACCTTGTCTCTACTAAAAATACAAAAAAAATTAGCCAGGCGTGGTGACGGGCACCTGTAGTCCCAGCTACTGGGGAGGCTGAGGCAGGAGAATGGCGTGAACCCAGGAGGCGGAGTTTGCAGTGAGCCGAGATCGCACCACTGCACTCCAGCCTGGGCAACAGAGTGAGACTCTGTCTCAAAAAATAAAATAAAATAAAATAAAAATAAAGCCAGCTGATTAGCAACCTGAATTCCCTCTGCAACCCGAATTTCTCTTTGCTGTGTAACCTAACATATCCACAGGCTCCAGGGATTAGGACATGAACTTCTTGAGGAGCCATTATTCTCCCCACTATATATATGTTTCAGAGGAGATGAAACTATTGTGGGTCTGTGCAGCTGGGGAGGCTTCTTAGAGGAGGGGCTGACAGATCAGCCCACTTGGAGAGGAGGGTCTGTAAGCAGGGCAAGGACAGGTGGGACTATATAGGTGAGATGGAACCAGATGCTCAAGAAGCCTTTTGTGCCTGGCTAGGAATTTCAGGCTTGATTCTTAGAAGTAATAGGGAGTCATAGCAGGTTCTTGAGCGAAGTTAGGACAGAAACGTAAAGCAAGCTTTTTGTGGAAAAGGCACCTCCACAGATGGGTCCAGGCTGGAGCCAAGTGGAGGGAGCCTGGAGGTAGGAGAGCCACCTAGGTGAGGGGACTGGGATTAGGGAGAGGTGGGGGACAGAGGGAGGGGACAAATGGAGGACTTGGAGGCTTCATGCTGTCATGGGACAAAGCCAGGACATTGTGGTGACTCAGGCTGGAATCACCGTTCTGCTGCTTCCAAGCTGTGTGTGTATATGGGGCTTGCTGAGCTTCAGTTTCTGAACCTCAGTGTCTTTTTGGAAATGGAGGCAGCGAGGAAGAGAACCCCTTCTGGGCAGAAGCATCCACTCCTGTCCTTTTCCTGCTGCATAACAGCACCCCCTGCTCACGTGGGCACTTGGCATGTTCAGGCAGGTTGACATCTCCACTCTGCTCCTTCCGCCCAGCATGTCACTGAGTGTGGGTGGGGTGCAGAGATGGGGGTGCAGGTGCCGGCGGGGGCAGGCCACAGAAGATGCTCAGATTATTTTGCAGCATTCCAGGAGCCTGATGGGTGCCTGTCACTGTCGCCCTCTCCAGCCCCCAGGAAGGGAAAGGATCTTCCCCAATGCATGGGTCTACTTCACTTTAAGCAAGCATGACTGCCCCGGCTTTCAGGAGTTTAAAAATCTGTGTGAATGAGGCTGGCATAGGGGCCCATTTGCATGCACACTGCAGTTTTCCAAGGACTTCCTTGTTCATTATCTCAGCAGGCCCTCGCTGGGTTCCCATTGACTGTCAGTCTCCCAGGGTGCGGAAAATAGGATTCAATTATACTCAGATTGCTTAGTGAGAGGTCCCCTTGGAGTCTCTCCCGGCCTCCTGCAGACAGAGACGAGCATCCTTCCTCACTCAGTAGAGCCCCTAGAAGAGGAGAGGGAGTCCCAGTGGGGTCACACCACCAGGAAGGGACAGGGCAAGGCCCCACGCCCAGGTCTGCACCACCCCTGAGGCTGAGTGCCTGTCCACACTCCACATCACACCGTCTGGGACCTCAGGCCGGGTAGGAGACAGGAGTCCCTGAGGGTCAAACATCTGGAGAGAAAGAAGAGACGGGAAGACCAAGAGGCTCTTGCTGCATAACAGCACCCCCTGCTCACGTGGGCACTTGGCATGTTCAGGCAGGTTGACGTCTCCACTCTGCTCCGTCCGCCCAGCATGTCACTGAGTGTGGGTGGGGTGCAGAGATGGGGGTGCAGGGTGCACCTGAGCACTGGCCACCCTGGGCAGATAATGGATTCCTTCCCCAGGCCACTCATGCTCTTCTAGACTCAGCCTCAGCCTGCAGGCCCTGAGAGAATTTCCTTTCTGAGTCCCAGAGCCCGTGGGATATGCCTCCCGGTGGGTGGGGAACACCAATGCCGGTGCTCTGGTGTGTGTGTCTTAAATGTTCCAGTGGTTTGCGCATTGCTTCTCCAATCAAACCCCAATCCTCTGAGGAGGGAATATGGCGACCCCCAGTTCGAAGATGGGGAAACTGAGGTTCGGAGGAAGGCTAAGTGAGGTATTCTATACAAAACTGTGCACAGAGCCACATGCCTCAAACTCCTCTCTCATTTCATCCTCACCGCACCGCCTGCGAGGGAGGAATAATTTATTCCTCATTTTATGGATGAGCAAAGAGGCTCTGAGAGGTTAAGGAAGGTGCTCAGGCTCCTGCAGCTGGTGGCCGCAGACCTGGGCAGAGTGCTGTCTGACTCTGGGTCTGAGTTCTGTCCTCTGTTTATCTTCCTTTTGATCTCTGTGTTCCTGCAGCGGGCTCTGCCCAAGATCTCTGGCCACTGGGCTTTATGCTCCTGCTCACTCTAAGGGAACTCCAGTGGGCTCTGCCCATCCTATTGTGCCGGATCGTTCAGCCGCTATTTTCTTCCCGGGATCATGCCGCCGCACTCTAGCCTGGGCGACAGAGAGACTCAGTCTCAAAATAATAATAATGAAATAAAATAAACTGAGGTTAGTTGCGCACTTTGGGAGGCTGAGGTGGGTGGATCACCTGAGGTCAGGAGTTCAAGATCAGCCTGGCCAACATGGTGAAACTCCATTTCTACTAAAAATACAAAAATTAGCTGAGTGTGGTGTCGCACGCATGTAATCCCAGCTATGCGGGAGGCCAAGGCACAAGAATCACTTGAACTCGGGAGGCAGAGGTTACAGTGAGCCGAGATTGCACCACTGTACTGCAGCCTGGGTGACAGGGTCGGGCATGGTGGCGCGTGCCTGTAGTCCCAGCTACTTGAGAGGCTGAGGCAGGGGAATCCCTTGCACCCTGGAGGCAGAGGCTGCAGTGAGCCGAGATTATGCCACTGCACTCCAGTCTGGGCAACAGAGCATGACTCTGTCTCAGGAAAAAAAAATGTAAAAAAGTTAATGAGCCTGCTGGAGACGGTGGCTCATGCCTGTAATCCCAGCATTGTGGGAGGCTGAGGCGGGAGGATCACCTGAGGTCAGGAGTTCGAGACCAGCCTGGCCAACATGGTGAAACCCTGTCTCTACTAAAAATACAAAAATTAGCCAGGTGTGGTGGTGCACATCTGTAGTCCCAGCTACTTGGGAGGCTGAGGCAGGAGAATTGCTTGAACTCGGGAGGCAGAAGTTGCAGTGAGTTGAGAATGTACCACTGCACTCCAGCCTGGGCAACAGAGCAAGACTCTGTCTCGAAAAACAACAACAACAAAAACAAAAACAGAGTGAGACTCTATCTCAAAAAAAAAAAAAGAAAAAAGAAAAGAAAAGAAACAAGCAAAAATGAGGTTGGTTGCAACTGCAAGGGTCCTGAGGCTGCAGAAGGTTAGGAAGGAAGGAAGGGAGGGCGGGAAGAAGGAGGAAGAAAGACAAGAAGACTGAGAAACGTCCTTACGTGGTGTCTAGCCCTACAGCTGCTCGGGGAAGGAAGGGCATTAGCCAAGACTTTGTGTTTTGAAGAGCTGAAAAGGAGAAATTGGCACACAGGGTGGATGCTCTGAAGACACTGTTGTCTGAAAGCCTAGGCGGATGCGGTGGCTTAGACAACAGAATTTCTTGTCTCACAATTCTGGAGTGTAGGAGTCTGAGATCAAGGTGTTGGCGAAGTTGGTTTCTTCTGAGGCCTCTGCCTTTGTCTTGTAGGTGGTCGTCTTCTCCCTGTGTCCTCACTTGGTTGTCCCTCTGTGTGTGTCTGTGTCCTAATCTCTTCTTAGGAGGACACCAGGCTTACGGGATTAGGGCCCACCTTAAGGACCTCATTTGACTTTAATTACCACTTTAAAGACCCCATTTCCAAATAAAGTCCTATTTTCAGGTACTGGGGCCTAGGTCTTCAACAGATGAAATTTTGCAGGACACAATTCAGCCCCTAACAGCTGAGGCCAGTGTCACCTCCATTTCCCAGGGACCAGGGAACCTTGGGGTTCTTGTAAGACCCGTGGACCCAAGAGGAAGGAACTAAAAATGCTTCCCTCTCTCTCTTTCTTTTTCTTTTCTTTCTCTCTTTTTTTTTTTTGAGACAGGGTCTCACTCTGTCACCCAGGTGAGAGTGGGTGGTGCCATCACAACTCACTGCAGCCTTGACCTCCCAGGCTCAGGCGATCCTCCCACCTCAGCCTCCCATGCAGCTAGGATCACAGGCATGCACCACCACAGCCGGCTAATTTTTGTATTTTTAGTAGAGACGGGGTTTTGTTATGTTGCTCAGGCTGGTCTCAAACTCCTCGGCTCAAGAGATCCACCCGCCTTGGCCTCCCAAAGTGCTGGGATTACAGGCAACAGCCAACCACACCTGGCCTGAAAATACTTCTATCAAGGACTTCCTGCCAATCTTGGGAGTGAGTTGAGCTGAATTTAATCCCATTTGCTTATTCTTATTCTTATTATTTTTTGAGATGGAGTCTCGCTGTATCACCCAGGCTGGAGTGCAGTGGTGAGATCTCGGCTCACTGCAGCCTCCACCTCCTGGATTCAAGTGATTCTCCTGCCTCAGCCTCCCGAGTACTGGGGACTACAGGCATGTGCCACCACACTCGGCTAATTTTTGTATTTTTTACTAGAGATGGGGTTTTGCCATGTTGGCCAGGCTGGTCTCGAACTCTTGACCTCAAGTGATCCACCCGCCTTGGCCTCCCAAAGTACTGGGATTACAAGCATGAGCCACTGTACCCGGCCCCATTTGCTTCTGATTATAAACATTCAAATTTACTCTTTGGATAGGTCATACGTGCAGATGGAACAAAATTCAATTCACAAGGCCCAAGGGTATCCAGAGAAACATCTTCCTCCTTCCCACACTGCCCGCCTCGGGCCCTGGCCACTGGCTGCTCTCCCCAGAGACCGTCCATGGGACTAGTTCTTTGGGTCTCCTGGTAGAGTTCCTGTCTTACCCACGTGTACATACTTAGACCAGAGCCTCCCAATTCTGGCTGCACACGAGAATCTCCTGGGGAGTTTTACAAAGTCCTGATATCAAGGCCCTACTCCACATCAATGGAACCAGAGTCTGTGGGGGCAGGCCCAGGCACTGGGCCACGCCGAAGCCTCCTGGCAGTTCGGATGTGCAGGCACACACACATCTGCCTGCACCCAAGCTCAGTGAGGAAGAAGGGAGGACAGAGGATGGGCAGCCCTGCCTGGGTACCAGACCCTCTCACATGCTCTTGTTTGCTTCTCGTGACATTCCTGCCAGACGGCATCATTGTCACCCCCCATTTCACAGGCAAGGAAGATGAGACTCAGGGGCCACACAACTGCCAGGGTCCCCCAGCCAGGAGTGAGGCCTGGAATCTGAGCCCAGGCCAGCTGCTTCTGACGTCTTCCTTCCTCGGGGCCATGCTGGTGGGAGGATAATAATAAAACCGACCCACAAAGATGTTGTGAGACTGAGATGTGCTAATGGAGAGGAAGGGCTTTGAAAGTCAGCCAAGTGGAGCTCTTACCCACGCGCAGGCTCATTAAAGTCCTGAGAGGGACACAGGGAGCGGGTGATTGCCCTATTTGCCTCTCCTTTGATCAAGTCCCCCTGTCTGCCTTCAGCTTCTGTTTTGCCTCCCTCTCCTGCCCTCCTTCCCTTCTCCTCCACCTACTACTTTCTCTGCCTTCCCAGCCCTTTGTTCTGGGCTGTCCTGCCCCCACCACCAACCCCTACCCCCAGTTTCTCCTTCCTTCTATCTTTATCCTTTGTCAGATCTGGTTTTTTAGTTTGCCACTCTGGCCCTGCTTGAGGGGCTCAGGGACTAGCCCACGGATCATAAGAACCAAGGCCTCCAACAGAGGATTTGTAGAGGTGATGTCACAAGTCTGCAGTTCTGAGCAGCAGGTGGAGAGAAGGCAAGTGGTCCCCCTGAGGCCCCAGACCCAGCCTTTCCAGGGCATCATTTACCCTATCCATCCATCCATCCATCCATCCACCCACCATCCATCCATCTACCCACCCATCGACCCACCATCCATCCATCCATCCATCCACCCACCATCCATCCATCGATCTACCCACCCATCCACCCATGATTCATCCATCCACCCATCCACTCATCCATCTATCTACCCACCCATCCACCCACTATCCATCCATCCATCCATCCATCTACCCACCCATCCACCCACCATCCATCCATCCATCCATCCACCCATCCACCTATCTATCCATTTTCCCACTCAGTTATCTATCCACCCACCCATCCACCTATCCATTCACTCATCCATCCATCTACCCATTCATCCACTCATCCATTCATCCATCCATCCACCCATCCACCCATCTATCCATTTGCCCACTCAGTTATCTATCCATCCACCCATCCACCCATCCATTCACTCATCCATCCATCTACCCATTCATCCACTCATCCATCCAGCCATCCATCCATCCATTCATCTGCTCATCCACCCATCCATTCATCCACCCATTCATCTACTTACTTACTCATCCATCCATCCATTCATCTATCCTCACTTTTGCTGTGTGCCAGGCCCTGAAGGCACAGCCATGAATAAGAGAAACACAGGCCCTCTTCTCATCCATCTGGAAGACAACAATTAAATAATTGCTTTAAACAAAATGCTATAGGACAGTGTCCTGCTCCGGTGAAGGTAGCCTTTTGTAATAGTGCTCTAGGTCAAGAAGAAGACAGACTCTATTTTAGCACACCAAGTGGTAGAACAGCAAGTCTGGCTGTCTTTGGGGAAGTCCACCCTGGGACCAGATCTCGGTGCTGGTCTCACCATCTCCCCTTCCCTACCTGCAGTGTCTGAAATCTTCCAGTGCTCTCCTGCCCCAACCCTTTCAACAGCAGAGGAAATAGAGGGACAGACAGAGGACAAAGAAGGGGCTCCAAGAAAGATGCTTGATGGTCATTGCAGAAGGCAAGGCCCAGGGTCTAGCTGTGAGGCCCTGTCCCTTGGTTGGGATCAAGTTGACAAGACAAGAGCAGCTGCCCCATGTGTGGCAGGAAGCTATTGCTGAGACCTGGAAGTTGAGTGATCATTATTTTGGATTCTGGCAGTAGGGAGACCATATTGTTTTGTATTTTGTTCCCACCCTCACACAGTAATGATGATGCCAGTGAGGACAACACTGGTTAACACTTCTGCGGGGGAGGTTTGCCCTGTACCAGGTGCAGTTATGTGCCCTGGATACCTATGACTAATTAGAGGTAGGGCTGCTGCCAGCATCCCTTAAACAGGTGTGGCCCCTGGAGGCACAGGGCTGTGAAGTAACTTCCTAAACTCACTCAGCTGTGGCAAAACCAAGCGAGGCCCTTGTAGCTGGGGTTACACTGGAGAGTCACACTCTTCCACGGACTGCCTCAACTACTCCACTCTGCCAACTCAACTATTAGCAGAATGGTGCCTGGGGTAACAGTGGACCACCAAGGACAGTAAAAGTCTCCAAGCACACTCTTTAGGCAGTGGCATGAGGTAGTGGCAGCTTGCCCTCTTCAGGGGGATAAGAGGATAGTGGCTGAGAGTGGTATCCTGGAGCCAGTCTCCTGGGTTTGAGTCCCAACTCTGCCTTTTACTACCGTGTGACTTTGGGCAACTTACCCTCTCTGTGTGTCATTTTTCTCATCTATAAAATAAGACCACTCACAGTGTTTCCGTCAAGGTTGATGTGAAGATTAATGGGATAATGGCGGTCAGGAGCTTGGCCTCGGTCTTATTTCTGTATCAGCTGGGGGACTGTGGGCAGGTACTCAGCCTTTCTAGACCCCACTTTCCTCTTATCTGGGATGAAAAGAAACCCAGCTGGGACCTCACACATGACAAAGGCTCAGTGAGGTGGAGAGTCCCAAGCAGATGAGAGGGATGTCTGGTTGCAGGGCAAAGGGACTGGGTCCTAGGAGTATTTGGATGCGTGGCTGGGTTGGATGAGGCAATCGACAGTGGACAGGCTGTCCTGGGAAGCCTGCTCCCCAGCTGCCTGGGGTGAATGCCAGGGCCTGCAGCTTTCACAGGGGCCGTGGCTGGGGCCAGCATCCGTGCATTCTGGGGCCTGGTCTTGCTGCCTCTTTGAACACTGGCTTCAGGTGTTCAAATTCCTATGGTTCAGTGTCCTCCCTGCGGTCCTGAGTAGCACTGCAGGGCTGTGGCCAGGAGCCCAGGGCTGGTGTTTGACCTTCTGGGCCTATGAGTGCCGAGGTGGCCAGGGCTCCTCTCGGCCTCCTCAGTGTGTTAGGTCTTTCTCCTTTTATTTTTATTTATTTATTTGAGACAAGGTCTTGCTCTGTTGCCCAGGGTAGAGTGCAGTGGGACCATCGTAGCTCACTGCGACCTTGAACTCCTGGGCTCAAGTGATCCTAGGACTACAGATTCCAGTAGCTGGGCCTACAGACATGTGCCACCACATCTGGCTAGTTTTTTTGTTTGTTTGTTTTTGAGATGGAGTCTCGCTCTGATGTCCAGGCTGGAGTGCAGTGGCGCGATCTCAGCTCACTGCAACCTCCACCTCCCGGGTTCAAGTGATTCTTCTGCCTCAGCCTCCCAAGTAGCTGAGGATTACAGGCGCACACCACCATGCCAGGTTAATTTTTGTATTTTTTGTAGAGATGAGGTTTCACTGTGTTGGCCAGGCTGGTCTCAAACTCCCAACCTCAAGTGATCCATCCATCTCAGCCTCCCAAAGTCATGCCTGGCTAATTTAAAAATATATTTATTTTTATAGGGACAAGTTCTTGCTATGTTTCCCAGGCTGGTCTCAAACTTCTGGGCTCAAGTGATCCTCCTGCCTCGGCTTCCCAAAGTGCTGGGATTACAGGCATGAGCCATCCATCTGGCCGCTCTTTCTTTTTAAATTATTTATTGAAAAAAATTAAAAAATTTTTATGGGTACATAGTAGGTGTATATATTTACTGGGTAGATGAGATATCCATTACCTCAAGCATTTATCCTTTGTGTTACAAACAACCCAATTATACTGTTAGTTATTTTGAAATGTACAATTAAATTATTATTGGCTATAATTACCCTGCTGTGCTATCAAATACTAGATCTTATTCATTCCTTTTTTTCTGAGACAGGGTCTTGTTCTGTCACGTAGGCTGGAGTACAGTGCTGTGATCATGGCTCACTGCAGCCTTGACCTCCTGGGCCCAAGCAATCCTCCCACTTCAGCCTCCCAAGTAGCTGGGACTATAGGTGTGCACCACCATGTCCGGCTAATTTTGTTTATTTTTTACAGAGACAGGGTCTTACTATGTTTCCCAGGCTGGTGTTGAACTCCTGGGTTCACAAATTCCTCCTGCCTCAGCCTCCCAAAGTGTTGCTATTATAGGTGTGAGCCACCATGCCTGGCCTTATTCATTCTTTCTACTATATTTTTGGACCCATTAACCATCCCTACTTTCCCCTGCCCCCCAACTACCCTTCCCAGCGTATAACCATCATTCTACTCTCTATCTCCATGGTTCAATTGTTTTAATTTTTAGCTCCCACAAATAAGTGAGAACATGTGAAGTTCGTCTTTCTGTGCCCGGCTTGCTTCACTTAACATAATGACCTCCAGTTTCATCCATGTTGTTGCAAATGACAGGATTTCATTCTTTTTTTTTTTTTTTTTTTTTGAGACGGAGTCTCCCTCTGTCGCCAGGCTGGAGTGCAGTGGCACGATCTCGGCTCACTGCAACCTCCAACTCCCTGGTTCAAGCGACTCTCCTGCCTCAGCCTCCCAAGTAGCTGGGATTACAGGCGTGCGCCACCATGCCCAGCTAATTTTTGTATTTTTAGGAGAGACAGGGTTTCACCGTGTTGGCCAGGGTGGCCTCTATCTCCTGCCCTTGTGTTCTGCCCGCCTTGGCCTCCCAAAGTGCTAGGATTACAGGCGTGAGCCACTGTGCCCAGCCTTTTGCCCATTTTAAAACTGGGTTATTAGGATTTTTCCTATAGGGTTGTTTGAGTTCCTTATCTATTCGATTATTAATCCCTTGTCAGATGTATAGTTTGCAAATATTTTCTCCCCTTCTGTGGGCTGTCTCTTCGCCTTGCTGATTGTTTCCTTTGCTGTGCAGAAGCTTTTTAACTTGATGGGATCCCATTTGTCCATTTTTGCTTTGGTTGCCTGTGCTTGTGAGGTATTTTTCAAGAAATCCGCCCAGAACAACGTCCTGGAGAGTTTCCCCATCTCCTTTTTTTCAAGTCTTATGCTTATTTATATTTATAAATATGACTTTTAGGTTTTTTTGAGGTGTGATTTGCCTCTTTTCAGTGCACAGTTTTACAAGTTTTGAAAAACAAAGTCACGCAAACACTGCCACAATCAAGACACGGAGCAGTTCCATCACCCCCCCGAAATTCTCTAATCTCAGCCCCTCAGCATCCCTGGATGCCAGGCTTAAGAAGTGGACTTCCTTCCCCTGGCAGAAGGAGGGCAGGGTCGGGCTCCGCGTCTGGGGGCTGTAGGCAGGGCTGGGGCTGTGCCATCTGCCTGCTCCTTCCTTCTGGCTGAGAGCACTGGGAGGAGGAGCCTGCAGGCTGAGGACAGGCTGTGCTGGGAGCAGGAAGCAAAGATCCCAGGCCCCAGAGCAGCTTCTGACCTTTAGAGGCTGCCTTTGTCTTGGACAGCCAGCTCTCCAGCTGCCTGCGGGGAATGCCCGGGCCTGCAGCTTTCACAGGAGCCATGGCCTGGGCCAGCTTCCATGTAGGCACCAAACGAAACTGCAGAGCCAGGCATGGCCCTGGGGTGCTGGGCCACAATGCCAGGCTCAGGAAACCAGTGTCCTGCCTGACACTGGGCCCTGGAACGGCCCAGCGAACTCCATTTTTTTTTTTTTTCATGAGGAAGGCAGGAGATGATAAGACACCTCCTCATCACAGTGTGCTTTGATGAGCTCTGCTAGGTTGGTCTGAGACCACTGTCTGGAGCCTGAACACTGCCAGAGTCATCTTTGCGTCTTCAGGGGAAATGTACTAGTGAATTGGTTGCATGTGCAACAAGCACTTGCTGGACTCTGGGGCCAGAACTCCCTGGGTTCAAATCCTGGGCTTACCACTGAGGCTCTGTGGCTTTGGGAAAATTATTTAGTGTGCCTCAGTTTTCTCATATATGAAATGGCTATAATAAGACTAATACCTATCTCAGAGAGTCGTAAGGATTAAATGAAAAAACACACTTAAAACACGTAGAATGTCCCTTGGTAAGTGTTAGCTGGCATTAATGTTATTTTGTTTCGGTTGTTTTGTTTTTGTTTGTGTGTGTGTGGTGTTTTTTTTTTTTTTTTTTTTTTTTGAGACACAGTCTCACTTTGTCACCCAGGCTAGAGTGCAGTGGCACAATCTTGGCTCACTGCAACCTCTGCCTTCCAGGTTCAAGCTATTCTCCTGCCTCAGCCTCCCGAGTAGCTGGAATTACAGGTGCCTGCCACCATGCCCGGCTAATTTTTTGTATTTTTAGTAGAGATGGAGTTTCACCATGTTAGCCAGGATGGTCTCCATCTCCTGACCTCATGCTCCACCCACCTCAGTTTCCCAGAGTGCTGGGATTACAAGCGTGAGCCACCACGCCCAGCATGATTTGTTTTGTTTTGTTTTTGAGACAGAGTTTGGCTTTGTCGCCCAGGCTGGAGTGCAGTGGCGCAATCTTGGCTCACTGCAACCTCTGCCTCTCAGACTCAAGCAGTTCTCCAGACTCAGCCTCCCGAGTAGCTGGGATTACAGGCACCCGCCATCATGCTGGGCTAATTTTTGTATTTTTAGTAGAGATGGGATTTCACCATGTTGGCCAGGCTGGTCTCAAACTCCTGACCTCAGGTGATCCACCCACCTTGGCCTCCCAAAGTGCTGGGATTACAGGCATGAGCCACCGCACATGGCCCCCATTAATGTTATTTTTATTGTTATTATTATTAAGTGGGAAAAAAAACTCACATTCTGATTCCAGCTGTGCCATCAACTGGCTGTATGGTGCTGGGCAATTCATGTCCCCTCTCTGAGCCTTATGTTCCACAGATACCATTGCTGGACAATTTCAACAATAGAAATAAGAGTGATGTTTATAGAGTTTTCTGCTCTAGCATGGTGCTCTGTCAATTATATTTTTGTCTTATTTGATTCTCTCGAGAAGTCTGTATAGTAAAGTGTCATTACCCACATTTTACAGATAAACAAACTGAGGTTTAGAGAGAATAAATAACTCCCCAGGGTCACCTGTCTACAGCTGGGGGAGACAGAAGTTGAACCCAGACGGTCCTGAATCCAAGGCTCAGAGGTTCAACTCCTGCTGTCCGCTGTTCAGGTGAAGTCAGGGGAATGGACTCAGGGTAGCCAGGCTGGCTGTGTGGTCTGCCCAAGGCATGGGTGACAGCAGCAGAAGACAGAGCGGGGAGGTCAGTGTAAAGGCAGAGGGATGGGCAGGGCCTCTGCCAGCCCTTGACCTCCTGGAGAAGCCAGTGAGGCTGACCTGGGGGCCTTCCCTGGGACATGTCCCTCATCCTTCCTCTACTCGAGGAGCCCAACAAGATACATGCTTGTGCCTGAGGGTAGGGTTGTTAGACTTCCCTGCATCAGCACCTTGTCTTTTAAGCAAGAGAGCTGGAGAGGGCCATGCTTAACCCAGAGAAATAAGTCACTAGTGCCATGTCATTCTCCTTTTTTTTTTTTTTTTTTTGAGACAGAGTCTTGCCCAGGCTGGAGTGCAGTGGCATGATCTCGGCTCACTGCAACCTCCGCCTCCCGGGTTCAAGCGATTCTTCTGCCTCAGCCTCCCGAGTAGCTGGGACTACAGGCACGTGCCACCACACCCAGCTAATTTTTGTATTTTCAGTAGAGACGAGGTTTCGCCATATTGGCCAGGCTGGTCTCGAACTCCTGACATCGTGATCCACCCACCTCGGTCTCCCAAAATGCTGGGATTACAGGTGTGACCCACCGTGCCCAGCCGTCAGTCCCTTCTTAAAAGCCCTGTGGCAGCTCCTCATGGCCCCAGGATGAAGAGGAGAGACGGAGGGGCAAGCAGTTTGCAAACCATCTGGACACTGGTGCCTGGGGAGGAGGCAACAACTCCTGCACTCAGCCCCTCGGCTGCGGAACTGGAAGAGGACACAGCCCCAAGGACAGAGACAAACAAACTGTGGGAGCCTTAGCTTCAGAGTCAAATAAATCTACGTTTCATCCTGTTTCTGCCACTTCCTGGGTGAGTGACTCTGGGCAAGTGCAGGGCGTGTGAACATTGGGAGAGGTGGCACCTGTGAAGTGCCTGAGCACATAGTAGGTGCTCAGTATGTTTGAGCTCATCTCCCTTCCTTCCCTCAGACCATGTCTCACATGCTGAGTTGGAAAAGGTCTGGTCGGGCTCTTGGTTACACTATGTATTATTTACATGGTATTGCACAAATCCCTAAACTATGCCATGTCTCTATTGATTAAAAAAAAATAGCCAAGTACACCCTAACACCTAATGATGATCATAAGATACATCTTGATTTCAAAGATGTCAAATATCAAAAGATGGTGTATCTCAGAATTGCTAAGCTTTGCTGCCCCAAACTTCACTCCTTTGCTGTCCTGAGTGTGTGCTTTTCAGCTTACGGTTTGTTGCCTCATGGTCTCAAGGTGGCTGCCAGGCATCCTATACTCTCACCCTCATCCCCATAAGGAAGATGAAAGGGCTGCCCCACAGTGGTTAGGTGACAGCCTCCCTTGTGTGGGGAGGACACAAGATCTTTTCTAGAAGTTGCTCAACAGACACACCATTGGCCAGAACTGGGTCACATGACTGCTGCTGTTGCAGAGCAGGCTGGGAAGGCTTTGACAAAGGAGGACAGTCATAAAGGCTTAGAACAATCCTTTTCAGCTCCTGTAGTGGGCGCCATGATGTTCTACCCTGAATGGGAGTTCTGCTAGCGGGGACAAAGTGAGTCGCCCGTTGGGCAGGCACATCTCAGACTCAGCCACAGACGAGACCTGGAAAACTCAGCGGACTCCGCCTCCCACCAAGACCTTTGATCTATTTATTTTTCCAGCATCCTTAATAGATAGCCATCCAGCCTCAGCTCAAACCCCTCTAACGGAGGACTCAGAACTTCACAGACAGCTCCCGGCCTTTCTAACTGCTGGATTGTTGAAATGCTCTTGCTTAGAGATGGAGCCAAATATGCCTCTTCCCACCAGTCCTGGCTTTGCCCCTTGGGGTCCCCCAGGTCCAGTGGGTTTTCTCTTGCTGGTGGTGCCTGCAGGTTTTGAAGACAGAGCTCACCCACACACCCCCACCCCCACTGCCTTCTCAGTTCCCGAATATCCCAGACATTTTCCTGACATTCTTAAAGGCATCAGTCATTTGTCATGGAGCTTCCTGTATTAGTCTGTTCTCACACTGCTGATAAATACATACCTGAGACTGGGCAATTTACAAAATAAAGAAGTTTAATGGACTTACAGTTCCACATGGCTGGGGACGCCTCACAATCATGCCAGAAGGCAAGGAGGAGCAAGTCACATCTTACATGGATGGTAGTAGGCAAAGAGAGAGTTTGTGCAGGGGAACTCCCGTTCTTAAAACCATCAGATCTCGTGAGACTTACTCACTATCAGGAGAACAGCATGGGAAAGACCCACCCCCATGATTCAATTACCTCTCACCAGGTTCCTCCCACTAAACGTAGGAATTGTGGGAGTTACAATTCAAGATGAGATTTGGGTGGGGACACAGCCAAACTGTATCACTTCAAATTAAGCAAATCATTTCAGCCATTCTTTCCTGAGAGTTCACTTTTGTCAGGCATTGTCCTCAGTCCTGGGTAGATAACAAGGAACAAAGCAGACCTTCCTTGGTCCGAGCCCACTGAGGAGCCATTTGTACATGTATTTCTTCCTCCAGGAAGCTTTCCCTGATTTCTGGATTGGCCTAGGAACTCCTTTTCTGGCTCCCACAGTCCCCATGCCCCTCTTCTATAACACTCCATGCACTCCTGACCTGAGTTTCTTTGTCTCCTACCCTGGACCGTGATCCCCATGAAGGCAGGGATGCATGTTGGTCATCAAGGTTGTGCTCAGAACAGAGCTGACAAATGGTGGGTGCTCGGTTTTTTGCTCTTTCCTCTATGAATGGGCAGTTACAGAGGTGGTTCTCAGAAGAACCGGGAGGAAGGGCATTTCTGGAGGTAAGGCTCATGCTCATGGCATTAGCCTCTGCTGGGACAGTCTCCATGCTCTTGGCCTCAAGCCTTCTCCTCGCTCCCCAGCTCAGAGCTGCAGGGTCAGGAGCCTGGTGAGCTTCTGGTACCCAGAGTGTCACAGCACAGGACAAGCAGCTGACTTAGCAGAAACAGGAATGCTTGCTCAGCCACATACCGACTGGGTGTCCTTGAGCCAGTGACTTAACCTCTCTGAACCTGTTTCCTTATTTGTAAAATGGAAACATGAACAGTGACCTCATGGGGTGATTGAAGGAGTTAATACCTGCCAATAACCTGGTGCATAGTGGGAGTGCCGCCACCTTCAGTTCTCGCTCCAACTAGTGGGGCTGCGGGTAGGGCCCTGCCAGCCTCTGCTCGAGCTGGAGGATGGTGCTGGGTGATGGGGATGGGCGAACATCAGGCAGTGTGGAAGACCCGGTGGCTTTGAAGAAGTAGGGCTTGGCATTCCCATGCAGCAAATCCCAGGGGACAGGGAAAAATCTGGGAAGTGACGTCTGCCGAGACCTAGGACAACTGCCCCAGACCACAAGGTGAGGTCTCCCAGGCCGGCTGGACATGTGCAGATGGATCAGCTCCCCATAAACCACACACAGGACAGAGATGAAGCCAAGATCCAGACAGGTCAGGTGACTTGTCCACGCTCACACAGCAGCTAGTCCCAGACCTCCAGATTCATGGCCCACTTTTACATTTTCTCTCTCTCTCTCTCTCTCTGTGTGTGTGTGTGTGTGTGTGTGTGTGTGTGTGTGTGTGTTTTGCCTCCTGCTTACCCAAGAGTATCTCCTTAATGGCCTCTCCTTGGAGATGACGAGGACATGAGCCTCTTCTTTATTCTCCCAGTGACCCACAGCTGCTGCCTCTGGTCCTTCCCAGCTCACCTAGCAGAAACCTGGAGAGGGTAGGAGGCCTGTGGGGGCAGATGCTCCAGAAAGGCATGTCCTTCGTTATTCTTTCACTGTGTTATGTCCTCTCTCTTCCAGACCTTTGCTCACGTGGTTCCTACTAAGCCTGCCAAGCAGGTTGGTGGCCTTCCTCCCCACTGTCTCAGAGACTCCAGGAAAGCAGCTACTAGGCTGCAGAGGGAGAAGCCAGTTACTCTTCTGTTGCCCTTGCTTGATTGTAAGCATCCTGAGGGCAAGGGCATTCCTGTCACTAGTACCATCTTAAGAAGGTCTACCCAGTGTCTAGTACCATTTGCAGTAGTCCCCGTGTTCAGCGCTATTTGCAGTATGGTTACTGTGCCCATTTAGCAGCCGAGAAAACAGAGACTCAGGTTATGAGCTAGTTGAGCTGAGAATGAAAACTGAGCTGGTGCTGGTGCCCGGTGATCACAATGAACAGTTTGGTGTTCTGATGATGTGCCAGAACTGTATCATCCCATTTCCCACACAAGGAGACAGAGGCAGAGAGAGGTCATGTTTCTTGCCTGAGATCACACAGGTCATAGGTGACAAAGGCAGATTTCAGACCTGGGGCTGGCTGCAGAGTCCATGTCCTGATCCACAACATTCTCCAGCCCTCTCCCTGCTGGCATCCAGCAGCGATGCTGAGGGGGGCCCTGGACAGGCTGGTGGTGAGAGGGGAGGGGGGTTGTCAGCCTTATGGGTCAGAGGCAAGGGGAGTGAGTGAAGGGCTGGGCGGGGACTGAGACCCAGGGTGGGACAGAGCCTCCGTCCTGCCCTTGGAGCTCTGGGCAAGTATCTTTCCTCACTTGGTCTCAGCCTGGGCTCCATGAAAGCAAAGGTATTGGGTGAGAAGGGAGGGGAAGAATCTTCCTTTCCACCGGGCCCAAGCCCTACTCTGGACTTTCCTTCTCTTTGAGGTTTTCAAGAACCAGAGTGTTAGGGGACTCTGCAAAGAGCACCGGGAAGACCACCCCTGCCTGCTCCTGGAGAACCTCCTCTGGCCCTGTGGCCGCCATCCAACCTGCAGCCCACCTCTGCCCTGAAGCACAGGGGAGTGAGGGAAGGCACGGGCTTGGGAATCAGGAAACTGGGTCTCCAGCCAGCTCTCCCTCCCTGGCTGGAGCGGCAGAGCTCAGCGGATGGGGCCGTGGGTTCTGGAGGTGGACAGTCTCACTTTTATTTATTATTATTATTATTATTATTATTTTTTTTTTTTTTTTTTTGAGACAGAGTCTCACTCTGTCTTCCAGACTGGAGTGTGGTGGCATGATCTTAGCTCACTGCAACCTCCGCCTCCTGGGTTCAAGCAATTCTCCTGCCTCAGCCTCCCGAGTAGCTGGGACTACAGGTGCATGCCACCATGCCTGGCTAATTTTTGTATTTTTAGTAGAGATGGGGTTTCACCATATTGGTCAGTCTGGTCTCGAACTCCTGATCTCAAGTGATCTGCCTCGGCTTCCCAGAGTGCTGGGATTACAGGCATGAGCCACTATGCCTGGCCGAGTCTCACTTTTAATCCCAGCTCTGCCCAAGTGGAACCCGGGAGTCCACTTGGGCTAGTGGACAAGTGTCAGGAAACGCTGCCCAGAGAGGACGTGGGCAGAGTCAAGAAGGGGGAGTTACAGTCATCTGAATAAAGACGGAGGGGAAAAGGGACAGTGCAAGGCTGGCAAGGTCAGTGGGAGGTGGGTGGATGGGGTGGCAGGAGCAGGTCCTGCCAGCCTGTGTGTCAGGACGTCTGACCTTGTCCCATGGGCAGTGGGAGTTACTACAAGGTTCTATGCAGGAGAGAGGCTGGTCAGATTTGTGTCTAATCCCCACAAACCCTGCCCTGTGAGCTTGAACAAGGGGTCTTCCTTTCTAGGTGGGAACTCCTCCTCTGCAGGATGAGGCACCCAGCCTTGGCAGTCCTTAGCTCCCATATAGTTCTGGTGCCGGATTAGGATGCAGAACAAGGCGTGGGCTCAGCAGAGCCACTTTGGGGGTAACTTTTGGGCATGGGAGGGCCCTGGGCCTCAAATTGCTCCCAGTGCAATTGGTCCCACAAGGCAAGATGTTTCCCTATAGATGCTTAGATGGCCTGGACCTCACCTTGACGTGCCTCCTTTGTTCCCAGCCACACTTTGGCCTCACTGGGCCTGTGTCGATCCTGTAGCCCCACGGCTCTTCTTGGGGAGGGAAGTCTTTGTGGGGTCCTTGTCGAGTGTGTGGGTCATAGGCCTGGGTGTGTGAAAGGGCTGCAAAGCATGAGGGAAGGGGGAGAAACCGCTGTGCAGGGGGCAAAACCACTGTGTAGAAGGCAAGGGGGAGAGTCCGGGCATAGCGCCAGGTGGGGAGGCACTGGGGGAGAAGACGGGGGAAAGGAAGCAGGAGCCGAGGGGAGACTGGGGGACTGGTGCGCTTTTTTTTTTTTTAACTTCATGAAAATATTTGTTTGACTAAAATTACCCTTTTTTTTTTTTTGCCCTTTCAGAAACTATGTTAGTAGTTCTGTGGACACACTTAATTGAAAATAAGAGGCCAGGTGCAGTGGCTCACGCCTGTAATCCCAGCACTTTGGGAGGCCAAGGCGGACGGGTCACCAGAGTTCAGGAGTTCGAGACCAGCCTGGCCAACATGGTGAAACCCCGTCTCTACAAAAAATACAAAAATTACCTGTGCGTAGTGGTGCATGTCTATAATCCCAGCTACTCAGGAGGTTCAGGCAGGAGAATCACTTGAACCCGGGAGGCAGAGGTTGGAGTGAGCCAAGATTGTGCGCCATTGTACTCCAGCCTGGGCAACAAGAGTGAAATTCCGTCTCAAAAAAAAAAAAAAGAAAAGAAAAGCTGTGTATACAACAAAAGGACGAAGAACACTGGTCAAGATGCACCATTAGCGTAGGGCGGGTAAGTTTAGACTAGAGAATGGGTCTAAGGAGCTTAACTTGACTATGAAGCATGATTTTGTCAACAGGGTGGAAAGCAACCGTGTATTTGGTTTTCCACTGGATCGCTGCTTCCGCCTCTGCAAACCACCAGGAAATAGGCTCTTCTAAGCCTCCTCAGATTTCAAAATGCACCGACCGTATCACATTATTGTTTCTTCAGAGCAAGAGTTGCTTCTTTGTCTCCCCTACTGTGCATTCCATAGGTGACTCAGAAAGACGCATTTTTAGTTTTTGTTGTTATTTGGAGTTTTATTATGGAAATTACCAAACATACCCAAAGGTAGCGAGAGCAGGATAATAAACCTCCGTGTGCCCATCATGAGTCCGATGATGATCGACTCAGGGGAGTTGGGTTTCATCTCTTCCCCCCTTCATTTCTATCCTAGGTATTATGTCGTTTCTCCCATACATCGGAAGGCATTTGAGCACAGAGATGCCTGTCCCCCCATTTTCGTCTCCTTGAAAACTTCACTTAAGGCTGCTGTGTTCATGAGGCTTTCTGTGGGTGGATGGAGGTCAACCTTGAAGAAGCAGCCGATTTCAGCTGGAGGTTGGTGCTGCCCTGGACATCAGGCCCCCAGAAGCAGGGGAGACCATGGGAACATGAAATGTTGGGGTGCTTTTGCAATTCCCGGAGCATGGAAGTGGGATTGGGCAGGAGGAGGGGCTACTGCACTGTGATGCTATTTAGCTGATGACCTTTAGAGTCACAAACCCCTGGACTGTCAGAGCTGGTGGCATCTTAGCTATCTCCAGTCTATCCCCTCACTGGACAGAGGAGGAAACTGAGGCCCAGAGAGTGGGGGCATCTTGCTCAAGGCCATGCATCAAATCAGTCAGAACCCAAGGACCTGGCTGTTTCCTGCCTGGTGTCCAACCAGCGTTTTAGAGCCCCCGCTGCAGTCAATCGCTATCAGGCACCCTGTGTCCTTCCCAGAGCATTGCTGAATACCTGGAAGGAGGCAGAGAACACCAGCCCAAGGAAGGAATACACTGGGATCTTGAGGAAGGCAGGAGCTTCCTTGGTGCAGTGTCCCCAGCTGCCTATCTGCCTGGGAGTGGCCTGGGCACCCAGGACCTCCTCTCCAACTCCAGGCATCCCATGGAGCACTTGGCAGCCCAGCTGAGGGATACTCCAGGAGGATCTTCCCTTGGCAGGTAGATCCATGTCAAACGGATCCCTCATCCAAAGCCAGCGCTGGCTTCACGTGCTGTTTTGTCTTCTCTTCCTCTCACACGAACATACGCTGTGTTGTTCTTTCCTGAACTTCTCCCTCCTCTCTCCCTCTTTTTTTTTTTTTTTTTTTGAGATGGAGTCTCACTCTGTCACCCAGGCTGGAGTGCAGTGACGCGATCTTGGCTCACCGCAACCTCCGCCTCCTGGGTTCAAGTGATTCTCCTGCCTCAGCCTCCCGAGTAGCTGGGATTACAGGCACCCACCACCAAGCCAGCCAATTTCTGTATTTTTAGTAGAGACGGGGTTTCACCACATTGGTCAGGCTGGTCTCGAACTCCTGACCTCAGGTGATCCACCCGCCTCAGCTTCCCAAAGTGCTGGGATTACAGGTGTTAGCCACTGCACACAGCCACTCTCTTCCTCCTTTTATCAGCCCATACTCATCTTCCCCCAGCTGCCCCGCCCCTGCTCCCCCCACCTCTCTTTCTCTCCCCACTTCCCTCCTTCTCCTCTCATAAATTCTCCCTCTGGGCTTTTTGCCAAGGGGCTGAATAAACAGGAAGGAAGGGGCAAATAAATCACCAAGACAGGCTCTGGGAAGGTTTCTGACTCTGGAGACCGTCACAGAAGAGCTGGCCGGCCTCCGCCTTGGGAGTTGCAGCGAGGCTGTGTAGAAGGGGTTATAGGAGCAGTGATATGGGGTCAGCAGCAGGCTGGTGCCCAGGCAGGCTTTCATCAACGCTGCGACCTTCAGAGTGAGGCTGAGGAGAAGCCCAGGTGGGGAGTCTAGAGCCCTGGCCACCAGTTGGGTTCTGCTGTGTGACTCTGGACAAATCTCACCCCCTCTCTGAGCCTCCATCTCCCCATTTGTAACAGGAGGGACCCGGATTAGATGGCTGGGAGTGGTCCTTGCGGCCCTGATGTTGTCGGAGTCTGAGGATTGATCTTTTATACAACTTGGAGGGCTCTGGAGGGAGGGTCTTGCTGAGCTGCTCTGATAGTGGGGATCATGCAGACCCCCGGCTTTCCCACTCTAGACGGCCTTGGCGAGAGCCCCCAGCTGCCCTTGAGTTGGGACATCCTGGGGGTGAATGAGGGTAGAAAAAGGCAGCTGCAGTTGGAGGCTTGCGGCTCAGAGCTAAGGCCTCCACCCCACAGCCTCCGCTGGCTCCCCAGGTGAGCTGGGACACCAAGATCAGAGGCTGGAAACAAGAAGTTTTGGCTTTTAGCTGGCAGCAGCAGCAGCTGCCAACATCATCTCTCCTTCAAATGACAGGCTGGGGACTTTGGGAAAACAGCCACAATAAGCGTGTTCGGAGGGAAAGGAGGGGGAGAGGAAGGAAAGAGAGCAGAGAAGATGGTGAGGTCTGGATCGTGGGGTGCAGCGTGTGTGCGCACATGTGCTTCTGTGATCCTCAGTATGTCAGTGTTTCTGTGACTGTGTGTACACTTACGCTGTGTCTCTGTGATTCAATCTCTGTGTGTCCCCAGGGAGACAGTGTGCGTCTCTGTTTTTGTTTGTTTGTTTTTTTTTTTTTTTTTGAGACGGAGTCTTGCTCTGTCACCCCGGCTGGAGTGCAGTGGTGCGATCTCGGCTCACTGCAACCTCCGCCTCCCGGGTTCAAGCAATTCTCCTGCCTCAGCCTCCTGAGTAGCTGGGATTACAGGTGCATGCTACCACGCCCTGGCTAGTTTTTGTATTTTTTAGTAGAGACGGGGTTTCGCCATGTTGGCCAGGCTAGTCTCGAACTCCTGACCTCAGGTGATCTGCCTTCCTTGGCCTCCCAAAGTATGGGGATTACAGGCGTGGGCCACGGCGCCTGGCCTAGTGTGAGTCTCTGTTTATGGTGATGGGTGGCAGCGCAATGCCTTGAAAATGTTTCCTCCAAGGTAGCAAAGAAAAGTCCCTGTGACCATCCAAAGCCTTGGTGAGCTCAGCGGCTGAGCACTGGTCTGGAAGTTAGGAGACGTGGGTTCCAGCTTTGGATCTGCTACAGGCTCACTTGGCAGCCTTGGGCGAGCCACTACCTTTCCTTGACTTGAGGAGCCTCAATGGCAAATAGCAACACAGCCAACTCTTTTTTTTTTTTTTTCCTAGAGAAAAAAAAGCTGTATGCTTTATTAAGCAGAGTGACAGTATAAAGCTTCCACAGCGTGGAAGGAGTCCCAAGCGGGTAGCCAGTGTTAGATTTTTTGATCACCTTTTAAACTCTTTAAGGCGGGAAATATGTGCGGCGGGAAGATGTTACCAGAGCGAGAAACAAAGACAATTAACATGTCTCAGATCTTGAAGAAAACCGGAATTGTAACTTAAGTTTTATCTGCGTATAACCTTGCAGCGGCATGGCAAAGGAGACAGGATCTCACAGAATTTTACAAATTGGCAACACAGTCAACTCTTTTAGAGCATTTGCTATGTGCCAGGCCCTGTCCTAAGCACATCACAGGTCAGGGTTATCCAACCCTGGAAGGTTATCTCCATTTTACAGATGTGGAAACTGAGGCCCGTGCCTAAGATGCCGTATCTAGTGAGTGGGGGGACTGAGATTCCAGTCCAGGCAGTTTGGCTTGGAGTTTGAGCTCTTCACCACACGCTGCCCAGCGATCCTGCCGGAGGGTCTTGACCACAGAGTGGGGGTGTGGGGGCTGTGATTCAGATTCTCCGAGGTGCTGATGCAGCTCTGTGGCGCCTACTGCCCCCGCCCCCCGACTGAGAACTGTGGCTGTGCTCAGCCACCGTGACTGGCTGGGGTATGGCTCGGATCCCTTGGGTGTTGGCCAGGCCCCAGTTGATCTCCAAGGGCTCTCGGTGTTCCAGGAAGCTATGGCTTGGTGTCTGAAACACAGTCTGGAGTAATAAATGTCGGGAGGAAGGATGTGACTAGGCTGCACAGGGAAGAGACCAAGACACTTTGAGCCAAATCTCTCTTTCTCTTGGGACCCCAAGAGCTGATTCACCTGGAACATCCTGGAGCCATGACACAAGCCATGCTCTGATGGCAGAGGCTGCCAGCTGCCACCCAGGACAGAGAGCTTATGGGAGGTGGTGGAGTTCCTGCTCCCCGCAAAGCCTGAGGGCTGGTAGAGATGTGAGGGTGTTTCAACGTTGCTTTCCAAGATAAGGAATGAGTTCTTTTTCTGTCCTTCTTCTTCTGTCCCTGGACAGCCTGACTGCGTCAAAGAAGGAGGTGGGGGAGCCAGGGGGCAGCTGGGGTAGGAAGAAGTCCAGCTTGGTGACATTAATGGGAGGACAGAATTGCCTGGCTCTTCTGTTTTTGGACACGGGCACAGTTATGAAACTTTGAGCAACCCCAGGCCTGGGGCTGGTTCCTGGTGGCCCTGGCCCACCCCTGCCTGCTGTGTGAGGCCTGTGAGGTGCATGAGGCCACTGTCCATAAATGGAATTGTCAGTTTATTACCCTCGGTACCCAGCCCAGTGCCTGGAAGTTCTTCCCGGATGTCGACTGCCGTGGGGAGAAGAGGGGCCCACTGGCCACAGTGAGGGTGCTGAGCTGGAGACGAGTTACACCCGATCTCATCCTGGGAGGAGACTGTGGTCTGGAGGGGGTGAGAGCAAAAATGCAGAGGCTTAAAACAGAGGTGAGGGCAGAGGGAGGCAGGAGAGACCGGGAAGGATTCAGGAAGCCTGTTTCCCACGTGGGAGGCGGAGGGATTTTCTTAAAACAGAAATCAGACCGTGCCACTTCCTGGTGGCGTTGCCCTAAAATAGATTCCATACTCTGTCCTGCTGTGCCATCTGGCTCTGCTTTCTCTCCACCTCCTCTAATGTTATCGTCTCCTCCCTGCTGTCCACTGTCCCGCCACACGGGTTTCTTCCAGTTCCTCGAACACACTAAGCCATGTCCACCCTTGGGGCTTGGCCCAACTCATTCCTACTTCCTGGACATCGCCCCGCCCTGCACTTTGCACTCATTCAGGTGCCTGCTTAAATGTTACCTCCTCAGAGAGGGCTTCCTACCGTATTTTGTCTCTCTCCCACTAGATTATCACCTAAAACCGAGCAGGGGCCATATAGGTCTTCTATAAATATCTCTTGTTAGTCAGCAAACATTTATTGAATGACTGTATGAAGGAGAAAATGGCTTACCTGGCTTTGGAAGCTTGGGGTTGCTCTACCTAAAGGAGTCATTCTCTATTTCAGCACCCCCTCATTTATTTAATTTAATTTATTTATTTAAGTCAGAGCCTTGCTCTGTCGCCCAGGCTGGAGTACAGTGGAGCGATCTCAGCTCACTGCAACCTCTGCCTCCCAGGTTCAAGCGATTCTCCTGCCTCAGCCTCCTGAGTAGCTGGGATTACACATGCGCACCACCACAAGTGGCTAATTTTGTACTTTTAGTAGACGGGGTTTCACCGTGTTGGCCAGGCTGGTCTCGAACTCCTGACTTCAGGTGATCTGCCCACCTGGGCCCCCCAAAGTGCTGGGATTGTAGGCATGAGCCGCTGCGCCCAGCCAGCACCCCACTGTTTAATGTATATGTATGAAGCTCATCGCAATTTGTAATCAATTTATTTATTGTTTTTGTCTCTCTCCCACTAGACTGTCACCTAAAACCGAGCAGAGGCCATATGCGTGCTCTATAAATATTTGTTGTTAGTCAGCAAACATTTATTGAATGACTGTATGAAGGAGATAATGGTTTTACCTGGCTTTGGAAGGCTGAGTAGGAACAGGGAAAGCAAAGAAGGATGTGCTTAGCTGTAATATCCGAAAACTCAACTATCAGTAGCTTAACTTCTAAGGATATCTATTGTTGACTTGGGAAGATGTCCGGATCTAGATTGTCCTCATGTTGATTCTGCAGCTTAACAGTGTCATTGGCCTCCCTGCTGCTTTCAATTTTTGCACACTGGCACCCTCAGCATGTTGGCATTTATCCTCAGGCTTCGCACCTTATGGTCACAAGATGGCTGCCATAGCTCCAGGCATCACGTCCTCACACGACTGTGTCCAAAATAGGAAGAGAGTGGCCAGGCATGGTGGCTCATGCCTGTAATCCCAGCACTTTGAGAGGCCAAGGAGGGCAGATAGCTTTGAGCTCAGGAGTTCAAGACCAGCTTGGGCAACATGGGGAAACTCTGTCTATTTAACAATACAAAACTTAGCCGGGCATTGGTGGCTGGCGCCTGTAGCCCCAGCTACTTGGGAAACTGAGGCTGGAGAATCACTTGAGCCCTGGGAGTGGAGATTGCAGTGAGCCGAGATCATGCCACTGCACTCCAGTCTGGGCAACAAAGTGAGACCCTGTCTCAAAAAAAAGCACAGAAAAACAAAATAGGATGAGAGGAAAGGGAGCAAAGGAATCTTCATGTGATTTTTCTCTTTCATCAGAGGTGAAAATCTTCACCTGGAAACATACTGCCACTCCTCACACCCTCCAGAGATTCTGCTTTATGTGATTATCACTCTGAACTGGCTCACTCAAGACCAATGAGTGAAAAGGGCTAGAGTAGAAAAGAGTAGAAAAGGGCTGCCATGATCACCTCAGGCTAATTGAGATGCGCCTCCTACGTTGTGTGCAATTCAACCCAGGAAGGCGATTAGTGGGGAAGAGGGCAGACAATGCCGAGCGTGCCCCACTGTCTCTTGGGGGCCTCCCACTCTCCTGTGGGGTAGGCAGGGCTACTTTTCTTAGTGTCTGTGGCTTCGCCTCTGCTCCCCCCACCCCCAGTCATTTGAGAATGCAAGGCTCAGAGAAACTAAGAAATGTGCTCAAGGTCACACAGAAAACTAGAAGGGAATAGAACTTAGCCCCTCATCAATCACTACCCTCACCCCAGAACTTGGGGTGCCCCTGGGCATGCTGTCTTGTCCCCACCCCCGTCCCTTCTCACCCTTCCATGCTGTTGCTTATTTAACCCACGTCTTTCCCAAGAGACTGTAAGCTCCCTAAGCACAGGGACTTTGGATCTGCCCATGGTCTTTCCCCAGTACCTAGAACAGAGCCTGGTTCTGAGCAAGGAAGGAAGGAAGGAAGGAAGGAAGGGGAGGAAAGAAGGGAGGGAGGGACGGAGGGAGAAAGGAAGGAAGGAAGGGAGGGAGGGATGGAGGGAGGGGAGGGGAGGGACAGAGGGAGGAAGGACGGGAGGAAGAAGGAAAAAGGAAGGAGGGAAGAAAGAGGGAGGAAGGAAGGGAGGAAGGGAGGGAGAGAGGAAGAAAGGAAGGAAAGAAGGAAGGAAGGGAGGGAGGGAGGGAGGGGAGGGGAAGAAGAGAGGAAGGAAGGGAGGGAGGAAGAAAGAAAAAGGAAGGAACAAAGGGAGGAAGGAAGGGAGGAAGGGAGGGAGAGAGGAAAGGAGGGAGGGAGGGAGAGAGGGAGGAAGGGAGGAAAGGAGGGAGGGAGGAAGGGAGGATTCTTAAGTGTATGTAATTGAGGTCTTCTGTACCCATGCCCTGTCAGCAAGCACTTGGGCGGAGTCCTGCAGCCCTTAGCTGGTGCAGGTGGGTAGCACTGCTGATACGTTTTACTGAGGTGCTGCCTTGAGGAAGGGAGTGAGTGAATATGGGGAGCACAGCCAATCCCCACGATGGGTACAGAGGAATTGGCTGTCTTGTGAGGCAGTAAACTCTGCTTTCAGAGGTGATAGGCATCTCTTGGGAGTGTTCTAGAGGTGATGCTTGCCATGAGAAGTTAGAATTGAAGACCACTGGAAGACTGATTTTGCGATATATTGGCTTAAGAGTCTGCAAAAACAGCATTTGCAGAATTCTCACAACTGCCTTATTTTGATTTTACAGTAGGGGGAAGTGAAACACAGAGAAGGTAAGTAATTTGCCCAAGGTCACACAGCTCATCTGTGGCAAAGACAGGATTGAATCCAGGCATGGAAGTACCCTGCTCACCTTTATTTTTTATTTTTTTATTTTTTTTGAGATGGAGTCTCGCTCTTGTCACCCAGGCTGGAGTGCAATGGTGTGATCTCAGCTCACTGCAATGTCCACCTCCTGGGTTCAAGCAATTCTGCCTCAGCCTCCTGAGTAGCTGAGACTACAGGTGCCCGCCACCATGCCTGACTAATTTTTACATTTTTAGTAGAGACGGGGTTTTGCCATGTTGGCCAGGCTGGTCTCGAACTCCTGACCTCAAGTGATCTGCCCACCTTGGCCTCCCAAAGTTCTGGGATTTACAGGCATGAGCCACCGTGCCTGGCCCCACTCACCTTTCTTAGCCCTTAGACCACACCGCCTCTTCACATCCCTTAGAGATCCAAGGCTCTGTGATTTGAAGAATAGTGACTTGTAGCACTGTCAGAATGTATTTCTGTAAGAATCTATGACTCAGAGCCGATTCTGGCCTTCTAAGACACTCGGATTCTCTGCGATTCTGACAGCCCATGATGCTACCCTGAGTTTTGGAGTGCCAGCAAGGTCCTTCTTCTGATCTGCCTTTAGACTTGCTTTAATTATAATTTATCTGCTTCTTTGGAGGTCTTTGTTCCCTTGGCCCTGTCCCTCTGCCTGCAGGCCCGGCCGCCCATCCTGGAACTGGCTGCTGGCAGTCGATCAAGTTTCATAACAATGTTATGGTGGGGATGTCAGCATCATGGAGGTTCCAACCAGACTCCAACTAGCGCTTCCCCACGGGGAGCGGGCCCGGCAGTGACTGATGTGGGGTTGCTGCTCTATGGGTAACAAAATGGATGGGAGGAGAGAGAGGCCCAGAGTAAACAGGGAGGGCTGGGAGATGGCAGGAGCGGCCAGCATGCTGCGGTCTCATTCCTTACCTTCATCTCCCTGGGCCCAACGGGAGGCCTGGAGCCATGAAGCAACTGTGAGTTCCCAGTGAGAAGCCACTCCCAAGCCTCCCAGGCAGCAGAAGGAAGAGAATAGATGCTAATTGGGAATCTTCTACATGCCAGCACAGGGCTAGGTCCTTCACAGGCATTGATCCTCTTAATTCACCCTCCCATTTCAAGGGCAGCTGTGTACCACTGCCATACCCAAAACAGCCTGGGCTGGCATAGGAGGGCAGTTCCTCCCATCTGCCTTCCAAAGGCATCAGCCTCTGGTTCCTGCATCCTCCACCTCTCCTCTTTCATGGGATCGTTCCCATGAGTGCACAGAGGAGATCCGACCTCCCCCAACTGGAGAGAGACACACAAAGAGACAGAGAGGCAGAGATGGACAGAGAGATAGAGAAAGAGAGACCTCCTGGTCATCCAAAGACTGCCCATTTTTTCAGCAGAACTGCTCAGCAGCTCAATGACCCTATTTCTTTTCTTTTCTTTCTTTTTTTTTTTGAGATGGAGTTTTGTTCTTGTTGCCCAGGCTGGAGTGCAGTGGCATGACCTTGGCTCACTGCAACCTCCGCCTCCAGGGTTCAAGTGTTTCTCCTGCTTCAGCCTCCCAAGTAGCTGGGATTACAGGCATGCACTACCACACCTGGCTAATTTTGTGTTTTTAGTAGAGACGGGGTTTCTCCATGTTGGTCAGGCTGGTCTTGAACTCCCGACCTCAGGTGATCCACCTGCCTCAGCCTCCCAAAGTGTTGGGATTACAGGCGTGAGCCATTGTGCCGGCCAAATGACCCCACTTCTTTCCCTCCTCTTCCGTCTCCAACCCGTGCCTGTGTGGCTAATATTGTTTGGTGGAGTCACTGCCCACCCTCCTGTTGCTGAATTCTAGCAGAGCTGTTGAGGCAGCGCCGCACAGATAATTCCTCCTTCCGTCCTCAGACCCTGAACCCTGACTTGGTGGCACTCCAGTCCCCTGGTTTTCTTCCTGCTGCGTGGGTCACTCCTCAGTCTCTCCAGGGCCACCGCTTCTGGCCGCTCTGAGAGTTGAAGTTTCAGTGGTACCAACCCAGGCGCCTTCTCCATTGCCCTCTCCCCTCCTTACCTCCACACTCTCTTCCTTGGTGATGTCATGCCTTTAAGTCCATATCTGAGCTGATGTTCTCCACATTCCTAGTGCCAGCCCTCCTGGCTTCCAGCTGCCTCCTTGATACCCCTCCCCAAATGTCCTGCAGGCACCTCAAACCCAATGTGTGCACCCCGAGACTCCTACTTTCCCAGTGAAGCCACGTGTGTGCCAACCAGAGCCTCTAAACTTGGCAGGAATATGCCTGTCATCCTCAAGTCTCCTCCAGGAGACTCTTTTTCAAGCCTCTATCAAGACTATTGAGACTAATAGTAAAAAGGTAATTAAACTCATCCACAAACTCCCAGGGACCTGATGATATTATTCTTCTCCATTAATAAAGGCTTGAAGTGAAACCAGTATCCTGTGGGAGTCCACAAAATCCCTTAAAATTATAAAACATTCTAAAACTGAAAACTAGGGGAAGTACTTAACTACACCACTCATAGATTCATTCATTCATTCAGTAACTGTTGGGTTCCTGCCATGTGCCAAGATAGGGGTCAGGGATAAGTTGGTGAACACAACTGGCCCAGTGCCTGCCCCTATGGGGCTTCCCCAGGCAGGAGACAGACAGTAACAATCCAAATGGACATATATAAAGCTCCCACTGCCCAGCGCAGTGGCTCACGCCTGTAATCCCAGCACTTTGGGAGGCCAAGGCAGGCAGATCATGAGGTCAGAAGATTGAGACTATCCTGGCTAACTCGGTGAAACCCCATCTCTACTAAAAATACAAAAAATTAGCCAGGTGTGGTGGCACATGCCTGTAGTCCCAGCTACTTGGGAAGCTGAGGCAGGAGAACCACTTGAACCCGGGAGGCGGAGGTTGCAGTGAGCCGAGATCATGCCACTGCACTCCTGCCAGGGCAACAGAGTGAGACTCCATCTCAAAAAAAACAAAAACAAAAACAAAAACTCCCACTAGAGGCTGTGCACTTTTCTAGGTGCTTTATGGTATAAGCCCATTTAACTCTCACAGCGGTGCCTCGAGTGGGTACATCTATTGACCCATTTTACAGATAAGGAAACTGCAGCATGGAGAGAGGATATAATGGGGCTGGGGCCGCACAGCTCCTGCCAGGCAAAACCTCTGTAATCCAGGCCGTCTGACTGCAAAGGCCATGCTCTTGGCTGCGATTCTGTCAAGATGCCAACAATGAGATAAATAAAATGTGTAATTGCAAACTGTGATAAGTGCTATGGAAAAAATCTTGGGGTGCTGGAGGAGCAGAGAGGAGGTTCAACCTAGTCCAAAAAGCTAGGGAGGACATCTCTGAGGAAGTGATATTTCAGTGAAGACTCAGGATGAGTAGACATAGCCCAGGCAAAGAGTTGAAACAAGGGCATCCCAGGAAAAAGAAAGGGCCTGTGCAAAGGCCCTGAGGCAGGAAAGTTCAGCACAGAGAGGTCCCTCATAGCAGTCTAGCAAAAATAAAGTGAGGGGCTGGGTGCAGTGGCTCACACCTGTAATTCTAGCACTTTGGGAGGCTGAAGTGGGCAGATCACTTGAGGTCAGGAGTTCGAGACCAGCCTAGCCAACATGGTGAAACCCTGACTCTACTAAAAATACAAAAGATTAGCCAGATGTGGTGGCGGGCGCCTGTAATCCCAGCTACTCGGGAGGCTGTGGCAGGAGAATTGCTTGAACCCGGGAAGCGGAGGTTGCAGTGAACCAAGATCGCACCACTGCAGCCTGGGTGACAGAGTGAGACTCTGGCTCAAAAATAAAATAAGGAATATGTGCATGGTGGAAAGTAAAGGACACTGGGCGAGGGCGGAAGGGTTGATGCCTGGGGGACACAGGCAGCTGCTGGCGGGATGGGATTTAGGGGGCTCCTAGAGCCTCTGCCGGCCTAATCATCTCTTCTTCACATTGTGTCATATGTCCTGAGAGTTCCCCATTACTGCTCTGTCCTCAAGGCTGTGAAAAGCAATTCGCGATGTCCAGTCTCCTGAGGAAAGTCCCACACCTGTGGGAGGTATAAAGCCTGGCTTCCTCCATGGAAGCTTCTTCTTCATCACAAGTGAGCCCCAGCTCTGCTCAGCCACTCTGCCCAGCACTGCGGCTCCAGGAGGAGGACCGAGTTGGATTCTTGCTCTCCAGGGGCCCACTGTGAGGGAGAAGCAGACAAGCCAGTGACTGCTGCACAGTGGGCCTGGACTGTGGTGCAGAGATGGCTGAGACCTAGTGGTGTTTCCAAACTGGGAGTGACCAGCCCCATAGAGAAACGTGGTGGGCGGGGAAAGCTTCCCAGCAGAGGTGATATTTGAACAGGAGCCCAGGGCTCACCAGGTGCAGAGTGGGGAAAGGCACTCCAGGAAGAAGGAGAGAGGAAAGAGAGGTGGGTGAGGATGACCTGAATCCTTCAGAGACCTGACTCAGCCTCAGGCAGAGATCTGGGAGGTGGGCTTCTCCCACTTCACAGGAGTAGGCTAGGATCATCATTTCCATTTAACAGATGGGGAAACTGAGCCTCAGAGAGAGGTTAGCTAATTTTCCCAAGGGCGCCTGAGTGGCAGAGCTGGGATTCAAACTCAGACTCTCTGACTCCAGAGGTAGAACTCAGATCCTCCAAGCTATGTTGCATCCCAAGTCATTGCCAGTACCCCTGAGAGCTGGACAGGCTTTGACAGGCAGGGAATGAGCACTGACTGCACTGGGGAATGGAAATCTTCTGGTCCCAACACAGCCAATGGCTCTGCAGGGCTCACGTCCCTCTTAAGGGCTCATGTCCATCTGTCTGTCATCTGGAAACAGACTCCTGCCCCTTCTCCCCCACGGGCTGCTGTGAGGCACTGAGGAGTGTCACAGGCAACATCTCCTTTGGGCTGGAACCCCTGGCAGTACCTGGGAGGGCAGGTGATGCCAGACAAGGCCAGCTGGAGGAGCCTGGAAGGAGGTGGGGCGGGGCTCTGAGAAGCATCGACTGCGGCTGCCCTCCCTCCCTGCCTCCATCTCCACCCTCCACCACCAGGCCGGTGTAATCAGGGCTATCCATCACCCTCCCTAAGGGCCAGGTGCCTGCTGGCAGCAGTACCACTGCCAGCTCATCCATATTTCATCAGCCTGTGAGAAAGAAGCGAGAGAGCAGAGGAGGAAAGATGGAGCCTAGGGGAACGGGCCCATCAACAACAGTGGCTGCCCCCCAGCCAGCCCCTCAACACAGGCTCTGTCAGCTGGCCCAGGCCACAGCCAGGCACCCTACTGGGAGGCTCTAGGATGTGGGTCAGGCAGATGAGGTGCTGTGGAAATAGTGATAATGGGGACAAGGACCTGCCATTCTTCTGGAGCCCTTGCTTGGTGCCAGGTGCTGTGAAGGCACTTCATGTACATTGCATTATCCAATCTTCTCAACTACCCTATGAGTAAGGCTCTGCCACGCCTCGCACTTTATGGGTGGAGAAACTGAGGCCCAGGTGATAAGTAGCCCACCTGAGGCTCTGCTCAGATGTGGCCAAGGCAAGATTCAGCTCAGGCACTCGGGTTCTGGCATCCTCACTCCAGCCCCAACCCCTGTGTTTCCCTGTGTGTGTTCAGAACCATGGACTTGCATTCCACTTCAGCTTGGGCTATGTCATCCCCCTCTGAGCCTCAGTTTCCTCCTCTGTACAATAGCTGCTTCCCAGGGTGACAGTGAGCCTTGAGTAAATGACTGCTACTCAGAGCCAGCCCGAAAAATATCCTTCCAGCCTTGGCTCAGACATCGCTGTCTCGGCAAGGCCTGGTTAAGGTTGCAGCAGCCCTGCTCCCCCCGCCGTCTGCTCTGTCCTGTCTTTCAGGTCGCGTATCACCTCTTCTCCATTGCCATTTATCACCCATCTCTGCTGCAGGGAGGCCAGGGTCCTGCCGATTTTTTCTGAGCAGTCTGGGAGCCTGGAGCAGCCCCAGGGTGAGTGGTTCCTGAGCATTGTCAGAGGGAATGAGTACACGGATGGGTGTTCTATTCCCCCTTTTCAGGGACCTCTTAGAAACAGGAGGATTGGGGGTGAGATTTAGCTGTCAGGGCTAGGCAGGGCCAGAGGGGCTGGGAAGGACGTATTCACGGAAGGGGAAAGAAAACACGTTGACTCTGGGCCAGGAGGATGGGCAGGGAGTGAACCCAGGCATGGGAGAGATGGACTTTTCCAGGGTTGGGGGGTGCCATTCCAGATTTCAATTCCCCCTGGGTGCAGAGGGTCCATCAGCCTGGAACAGCTACGTCCAGAGTGTGTCCCCTCCATCCCCCAGCACACCTGCTGTCCCCTCCTTTCCCAGGGGTCCCGAGGCCTCAGGCTGTCTAGCCAGGGCCCTGTTGCCCCCACACCAGGTCCTCTGCCTGCCTCATGCTCATTCAGCCCAGGTTGGGCACTCACAAGCTTCTCAGTCTGCTTCTGATTTAGAAAGATCATTGCAGGCCAGGCGTGGTGGTTCACCCCTGTAATCCTAGCACTTTGGGAGGCCGAGGCGGGGGGATCACCTCAGGGCGGAGTTCGAGACCAGCCTGAGCAACATGGAGAAAGCCCATCTCTATTAAAAATACAAAATTAGCCAGGCGTGGTGGTGCATGCCTGTAATCCCAGCTACTTGGGAAGCTGAGGCAGGATAATCGCTTGAACCCGGGAGGCGGAGGTTGCAGTGAACCAAGACTGCACCACAGCACTCCAGCCTGGGTAACTAGAGTGAAACTCCTTCTGGGAAAAAAAAAAAAAAAAAAAAAAAAGAAGGTCATTCCAATTCGGAGTCATAAGTATCAGAACTTCATGACTCTTGGAGACTCTGATCCCCTGAGGAGAGAGTGAGCTCAGAAAGGAAAAGTGACCGTTCAGGTCAAACAGCAAGGTCTGCCAAATCCTGTCCCAGACTCAGTGGAGGGAAAGTCCTGGTACACCCCCACACCCTCCTTTGCATCTCCCCCCCAGCTCCCATATTCTAGAAATCCAGCCTGGCTTTCAAGTCCCTGGGCAAGCCAGGTGCCCTCCACCCCTATCCCCAGTCGGTCGACCTTCCCTGCTCCAGGCATACTCTGTGTCTGCTTCAGGTGTCATCTCTGCCCCAGGTGTGTTCTCTGCTCCCTCTTCCCCGCTGTGCTCCCTGTCTCAAGTGTACTCCCTGTCCTAGCGTGCCCCCTGCCCCAGATGTGCTCCCTGCCCCAGATGTGCTCCCTGCCCCGGATGTGCCCCCTGCCCCGGATGTGTCCCCTGCCCCGGATGTGCTCCCTGCCCCGGATGTGCTCCCTGCCCCGGATGTGTCCCCTGCCCCGGATGTGCTCCCTGCCCCGGATGTGTCCCCTGCCCCGGATGTGCTCCCTGCCCCGGATGTGCTCCCTGCCCCGGATGTGTCCCCTGCCCCGGATGTGCTCCCTGCCCCGGATGTGTCCCCTGCCCCGGATGTGCTCCCTGCCCCGGATGTGTCCCCTGCCCCGGATGTGCTCCCTGCCCCGGATGTGCTCCCTGCCCCGGATGTGTCCCCTGCCCCGGATGTGTCCCCTGCCCCAGATGTGTCCCCTGCCCCGGATGTGCTCCCTGCCCCGGATGTGTTCCCTGCCCCGGATGTGCTCCCTGCCCCAGAGGTGCTCCCTGTCTCAAGTGTGCTCCTTGTCCTAGTGTGCTCCCTGCCCCAGGTGTGCTCCCTGTCCTAGTGTGCTCCCAGTCTCAGGTATGCTCCCTGCCTCAAGTGTACTCCCTGTCCTAGAATGCTCCCTGCCCCAGGTGTGCTCCCTGCCTCAGGTGTGCTCCCTGTCCCAGGTGTGCCCCCTCCCCCAGGTGTACTCCCTCCCTCAGGTGTGCTCCCTGTCTCAGGTGTGCTCCCTCCCCCAGGTGTGCTCTTTGTCTCAGGTGTGCTCCCTACCCCAGGTGTGTTCCCTGCCTCAGGTGTGCTCCCTCCCCCAGGTGTGCTCCCTGTGTCTGGTGTGCTCCCTGCTCCAGGTGTATTCTCTGCTCCCACCACTGCTCAAAAGCTCACTCTGGCCCCTGGGTCTTTGTACATGCAATTCCTTTGCCAGGGTGCCTGCTCTGCTCTAGCCAATTGTCCCACCATTTTTAGGAACCAGCAGGAGTCCCCACCTCCTCCAGGAGGTCTTTTGAGTCTACCCTGTGGTTGAGTCTGCCAGCCTTGACTCACAGGGTTTCGAGTATTGTGTGTTTCCAGATCTTCTCTGAGTTTCAGGTGATTTGGAGGGGAGGTTACGTGGAAGGAGGCCAGGCAATCAATAGGCTTATATTCCTCTGTTCCTCCAAAGCTCTGTGACCTTGGATCAGCTACTAAGCTGCTCTGAGCCCCAGTTTTGTCCTCATCTAGAAGATGAGGCTGGTGAAGGATTCCACCTCAGCTAACTCATGGGGCTGAGTGAAAGGGCGATGTGGGTGGTGCAGGATGGTGCACGTGTGAGGGTTAACCACTCCTGGGGCTCAGGAGCTGCGGTACGCACGCATTCTTCATTGTCTTCTTGAGAGTCCTGGGCTAGGTCCCTGGGAAGACTCAGCATGTACTCACAGTGTGGTACTGGGACCATCCCTGTAACTGTCTGTCCCCTACGGACTGCACCCTCTTTGATATCAGGGACCAGGTCTTTTTGATCTTCCCATCCTCAGCACAGGGCACAGGGCAGGTGTTCTGCTCTTGCTCCTAGAACTAAAGAGCTGGTGCAGTTGGCTCTAGGAGCACACTCCAGCCTAGGATGAAGCCTTAGAGGTCGTTTCATCAAAAACCTTGTTATTGTATGGACGGGGAAACTGAGACTCAGAAAAGGGGAGGGGCATGCTGAGTGTATAGTATAGCACCAACTTTGGAGACCCATCTGGGTTTGGATGCAGTTCTTCAACTTCCTGGCAGTGGAACCTTGGGCAAGTCATTTGTTTCTCTTAGCCTCAGTTTTCCCATCTGTAAAATGGGGCCAATCATGAAGGTTGCTGTGGGGGTAAAGTGAGATTGCATCAGGGAAAGAGCATGGACAGTGTCTCGCATGCACCAGGCCTCCCCAGAAGGTAAGTTCTTTCCTCTTTGCCCAGAGCCTTGCACATTAGTGGCAGATCGGGGTGAGGGAGCGGGGAGAACCAGACCACCTGTTTCCCGCTCAGCTTCCTTTCCACCCTCTTTATTGAGAAGTTGGCTGTTTTCCCCTCTCAGCTGGCCCAGTCCAATCAGCCAATACCTGATCCTACCCCCACACAGCTTATCTATGGAAGGGAGCTATTGGATCCTCCTAGGAGGTTCTAATCAATGCAACTATAGGTATTTTCTGCCAAGGTCTAGCTCTGGTTTCCTCACCTTCTCCATTACACTGGCACCTGTACCATCTCTCAAGTCCCTTCCAGCTCAGAAACTCTGTTCATTGAAGATCAGGTCACCCTCCTCCCCAATCCACAGACAAATGGTCCCCTTCTTCCCTCTCTCTCAGAAGCACCCCCCTCCCCACCCTGGACATCCCTGGGAGAAGGAGAAGGCACATTCTATGGACCACAGCTGGACCAGTCTGTGCTCCAGCAATGGATGGCATCTCACATAGGGGCAGCGATGTGGCAGAGGGGGAGCTGCTATGCAGGCAGACAGACTGGAGTGTGAACCCCACTTCTCCTCCTCCCCAGCTGCACAACCAGGCCAGTCACTCTGCCTCCTTTTGAATGGGTACCAGAACCACAACTTGGCACATTTGTGGATGAACGTACCCAGCACAGCACTTTCTTCTCTTTTGGCTACTCCTGTGCTGAATTTGGCAGCCCTATTCTCCGTTGGGGAGGCCCCATCCTGGCCCAGTCCTCTCTGGCTGCCCTAGGCCCTGTCTGTATAACCACTTCCACTGGCTTTCCAGTGCTGTCTCCAAGTTCCTCAGGGGAAGGCCCCCAATGCCATAACTCCCTAGTTACATGTGCCTCCATCTACCTGCCCATGCACCTTTCATCACCCCTCTGCCCACCCACCTGTTTACTTGCCGTCCCTCCATCCTTCATCATTATCGCTATAGCTCATACTTATGGAGTGTGTATGAAGGGCCAGGCACCATCTACCATGTTGATAGCAACCCATCTAATCCTCCTTGCAGCCACACAAGGAAGATATTATTATCATCATCTCCATTTGCAGATGAAAAAAACTAAAGCATAGAGATGTAAACTAGCTTGCCTCAGGTCACATAATTAGTAAGAGGGAGAACTAAGATTCAAATCCTCATGAAGTCAGGAGATCGAGACCATCCTGGCCAACATGGTGAAACCCCGTCTTTACTAAAAAGACAAAAGTGAGCTGGGTGTAGTGGCATGTGCCTGTAATCTCAGCTACTCAGGAGGCTGACGCTGGAGAATCACTTGAACCCAGGAGGCGGAGGTTGCAGTGAGCTGAGATGGTGCCACTGCACTCCAGCCTGGCAACAGAGCGAGACTGTCTCAAAGAAAAAAAAAAAGAAAAGAAAAGATTCAAATCTAAGCACACACAGGCTACCACCAACCCATACTACCCCAGCTTCCCGCCACACATCTATTATCTGTCTGATCACCTACCTGTGATCAGACACTTCTTCCCAGGTGGGCATAGATTCATCCACCCATTTACCCACCTATCAGTCACCACCCTCCATCAGAGCTTCCCTTTTTGGCCACTACATTGCATCCAATGTTGCAATGGCCACAGTCCTGCCCTTCTGCAGGTCACAGTCCAGTTAGAAAGACCAACATGTATCCAGGCAATGAGAAGCCATCGTGATACATGTTGTGAAGGTCCCCGGGTGCTGTAGGAGAATGGTGGAGGCACCTGGCCCAGGCTGGGTGCTCAGGTCTGAGTCCCGAAGGGGAGTGGGTGCAAAGAGAGGAGCATCCCCAAAAAGAGAAGAGCAAGTGCAAAGGCTTGGCCCCAGCGAGATGGTGGCACACGGGGAAGCTGTGAATATTCCTATGGCGGAAGTCAGGATTCCAAAGATGAGGCTAGAGGGGCAGCCAAAGCCAGGGGTGTAGGACTGTGAATGCAGGCCAGTGTGTGGTAGGCAGTGATGGGAGCCACCAAAGGGTTTTAAATGCGGGGGAGTGATGCGGCCACAGAGCTTCAGTGTGGTCCAGAGTGCTCTGGCCACTGCAGGGAGAAGGTCAAGGCCAGAGGCAGGGAGAGAAGGGAGCAGGCTGTCTCAGTGACCCAGCCCCAGTATGAGGAGGCCTGGACTGAGTCCATGACCATGGAGGTGAGTTACAGTGGGTGGATTAGAGGCGTGCTCAAGACATAGCTTCTTTGGACTTAAGTGATGGAGTGGGCATGGGGGTAGGGATGTCTCCTCTCTGGAGATGGTGCCTCACCTCCTGGAACTTCCCCAGGGATCACCCTCTGGCTGTCACACTCCCAGGTTTTGCACAGGCTATACATCCTGTCTGGAAGTCCCTGGCTTTACGGGCCATGTGAAGATGTTATAACTCTTTGCAGTTTCCAAGCAGGGGAGTGTGTGGTCAGATGCGGCTGTTAGAAATACCAGTTCCAGGCTGGGTGCGGTGGCTCACGCCTGGAATCCCAGCGCTTCGGGAGGCTGAGGCGGGCCGATCACGAGGTCAGGAGATTGAGACCATCCTGGCCAACATGGTGAAACACCGTCTCTACTAAAAATACAAAAAATAGCCAGGCGTGGTGGCACATGTCTGTAATCCCAGCTACTCGGGAGGCTGAGGTAGGAGAATCACTTGAACCCAGGAGGCGGAGGTTGCAGTGATCCGAGATCTTGCCATTGCACTCCAGCCTGGGCGACAAGAGCGAAACTCCGTCTCAGAAAAAAAAAACAACAAAAAACATAAAACATAAAACAAACAAACAAAAAAAACCCAAAAATACCAGCTGCAGGGAAGGCTCAGCAGTGGGGATTTGATCAGGGTCCGGTGGGAGTGGGATGGGGATATGAGACTGGGTGTCAGGCCTCAGAAGGAGCCATGGTTTCCTCAGACGATCCTTCCCAGACCTACTCACCCACAAATTATGCCAAGTTTCTCACTAATAATCAATCATCTCACTCTGGAGTTTACCTTCATTTCACAGACTACAGTTTGCAGTTTTATATTTATGTGCATGATTATTTGATTAATGTCTATATCTCACTCTAAATTATAAGCTCAATGAACATAGAGACACCATGATGGTATCAAGATATCACTGGGATACCATTTTATCCCTAGCGTCTAGGACAGTCCCTGGCACATAGTAGGTGCTCAATAAATGTTGAAAGAGTGAATGCGTATTCCTGGCTGGAGTTTCAGCAGCACTTGGATGATAGGATGTAAGATTGGTTGGAAAAAGGTGCCAATTTGTAGAGCTCAGAGGCCAAGTTTAGCAGTTTGGATAGTTGTCCTAACTCCTCAACATCCACTTTGAGGAATAGCCACAGAAAAATGATTCTTAGGATTTCTAAAATAGTTAACAGGCTGAAAAAGACCCTCAGGTGTCCCAGAGGAAAGCTGGCAGGGCTCAGGGGCTGCCCATTTTTCCGAATTACTCATCCATCTCATCTGCTCTCTATGGGCACAAGGAATTGACATGCAGCCCTGGCTGTTTTGTTCACAGGGCCTGGATCTCAACCATGTACCAAATAAAAGCTGGAACAAAATGTACCACATTTCCAACCCTGAATGTATCTCAAACGTTTTCTATAGTAGGTATGATTTTTTATTTCTATTAAACTACAAAGTGAACGAGCTTTCCTCTTGAACTCCTGGTGAGCCAGTCGAAACTAGAAGCCTGGCTGGGCACGGTGCCTCATGCCTGTAATCCCAGCACTTCGGGAGGCTGAGGAGGGTGGATCACCTGAGGTCAGGAGTTTGAGACCAGCCTGACTAACATGGTGAAACCCCATCTCTACTAAAAATACAAAAAAAAAAAAAAAAAAAATTAGCCAGGCATGATAGTGCATGCCTGCAGTTCCAGCTACCTGGGAGGCTGAGGCAGGAGAATCCTTGAACCCAGGAGGTGGAGATTGCAGTGAGCCGAGATCACACCACCGCACTCCAGCCTGGGCGACAGAGTGAGACTCAGTCTCAAAAAACAAACAAACAAAGAAACAAACAAACAAAAACTAGAAGCCTGAGTAATGGAGACAGCCCAGACCCAGAGCTGAGCCAGACTGGAATCTGCACACCAGCTTCACTATGGGAGGTTTTGGGGACCCTTCAAAGTCACTTTTCTCTGTGCATCTCAGTTTTCTTATCTGTAAAGTGAGGCAAGTAATTTCTGCCTATTCAGCTTGCAGCTTTATGGTGGGGACGTTGGGTGCGAACCTGTATTAAACACTGTCCAGCACCAGATACATCGTAGGAGGTGCAGCTTCACTAGTCAAACCATGTGGGTTTCAAAAGCTAGAAAATGGAAGCATTCGTAACTCTTTCCAACCTCTTTATTCCCCCGAGACACCGTCTCCCTGTGTCACCCAGGCTGGAGCGGATGGCACGATCACCGCTCGCTGCAGCCTCAGCCTCTGGAGCACAAGCCATCCTCCCACCTTGGCCTCCCAAGTAGCTGAGACCACAGGTGTGTGCCACCACATCTGGCTAATTATTTTTATTTCTGTAGAGACAGGGTCTCACTATGTTGCCCAGGCTGGTCTAAAACTCCTGGCCTCAAGCCATCCTCCCACCTCAGCCTCTCACGGTATTGGGATTACAGGCGTGAGCTACCATGCCCAGCTTTATCTTTCCAACCTTTGTGGATGCATGTGAATAAATTACTGTTTTTTGTTCTGCTTGGACTTCATTCCCTGCATTTTCCAGTTCACTGAGAGAATTTGTTATGCTCCACCCCTTTTTCCATAGGCTATGTCATAAGCCCGTGGCCAATGGGCTGGCTGCCTACGTGTAGAGCACCCGCCCCTTACCCAGTCAGATGCAACTGAGGGTTCACATGATATTCCGGCAGCCAAGCTTTCTAACAGGGTTTAGAAGAGTCCCTGGCAGGTGCTGTTATGATGTTCATTTTATAGATGAGAAAACTGAGGCACAGAGAGGTATCTTAGCCAATGACATGGAACCAGTAAAACACAGAATTGTGATTCAAACCTTGGGCTTTAAATCGTTTCTTTCCACGGTCTTGCTCGTCTCTGTCTCTCCAGGGCTAAGCAAAGTTTCTGGCATGATAAGCACTCTGTATATGTTTGCCAAGTGAGAGTTTGAGAATAATAACACTTACTTTACGGGCTTATTACGAAAATTAAATAAGTTAGTATGAGTGAAAGCATCTGGCGCAGACCCTGGGGTTGAGAGGTGGTGAATAAATACTGGTTTAATTCATTCATGAATTCATTCATTCCTCCTCCCTTATGGCTTGGAGCCATTGCTCCTGGCGAACACGGAAAGAAGGCAAAACCTGTCTTCTCTCCCTGAGCCCGACATTCTGCAGACTTTTGCCTTCAGAAAGCTGGTGCTCTTTCTTTCTCTCTGCTTATGCGGAGAATCTGTACCACCTCTTTGCCAGGGGGACTTAATGGTTAAGGTAAGCCCCTCTCTGACCTGCCTCTCCAGGCTCACCTCTCTCCTCTCCCTTCCCTAGCTCCCCACTCACACACCAGCCATCGTGGGCTGCCCAGAACTCACCCTGGGCTTTCCCTGTCTTGTGCTTTTGTTCACAACCATTCCTGGTGGGTTCCCTGTCCAGCCTTCAAAGCTCAGCTCGAAGGGAACTCTTCCGTAGCCTTTGAGGAAGGGGATGTTTTTATTCCAGCCAGAAGGGGAGGCTTTTATTCCAGCCAGAAATCACCATCCCCAATCGCTGCCCCTCTGTTACTTTATCTGCACCGCTCTTAAGGTACTGAGGGTGCCACTGATTGACCTAAATAGCACATGGATGGTGGAGTTTGCATTTCACATGTGGAAGAACTGAGTTAAATAACCCTCACTTCGGCCGCTCGCGGTGGCTCACACCTGTAATTCCAGCACTTTGGGAGGCCCAGGTGGGCAGATCACGAGGTCAGGAGATCGAGACCATCCTGGCTAACACGGTGAAACCCCGTCTCTACTAAAAATACAAAAAATTAACCAGGCATGGTGGTGCATACCTGTAATCCCAGCTACTAGGGAGGCTGAGGCAGGAGAATCACTTGAACCTGGGAGGCGGAGGTTGCAGTGAGCCAAGATCGTGCTACTGCACTCCAGCCTGGGCAACAGAGCGAGACTCTGTCAAAAAAAAAAAAAAAAAAATGGAAATCGGCTGGGCATGGTGGTTCACTCCTTTAATTCCAATTCCATCACTTTGGGAGGCCGAGGCAGGTGGATCACTTGAGGTCAGGAGTTCGAGACCAGCCTGGCCAACATGGCGAAAACCAGCCTCTACTAAAAATACAAAAAATAAAAATAAATAACCCTCACTTCATAGGGCTGTTGTGAGGATTAAATTAAATTAGAACAAGTAATGAATATTCACTCTTTTGCATTTCCCTAGCCCAATATTGCACTATAGAATGTCAGAACGGAAAGGGACTTTAGCAATATCAGTCAGATCCAGTGTTTCCCAAACTTTTAAAAAGGTAAGCACAACCATTTTTTTTTTCAGTGGGGTGGGGGTACTGTTCTGTCGGAGACAGGACTTACAGCTCTGCCCACTCAGCTCCTCCATCATCCCCTTCCTCAAAGGCTCTTCCTCCCAAGAAGACTTCTAGTCTTGTCTTAGCCAGAGTAATTAGGCAAGAAAAAGAAATAAATGCCATCAAAACTGGCAAGAAGGAAGTCAAATTGTCCTTGTTTGCAGATGACATGATTTTATACAGAAAACCCTAAAAGCTGCATCAAAAAACTCTTAGAACTGATAAGCAAATACAGTAAAATTGCAGGATACAAAATCAGCATATAAAAACCAGTAGTGTTTCTATGCACCAACAATGAACTAGCAAAAAAAGAAATTGAGGAAGCAATCTCACGTGACTACAATGACCATTAATACAAAAAACCCTAAAACACCTAAGAATAAAAGTAACCAAGGAGGTGAAAGACCTTTAGAAGGAAAATGATAAAACACTGATGAAAGCAATTGAAGAGGTCACAAAAAATGGAAACATATCACATGTTCATGAATTGGAAGACTTAATATTGTGAAAATGGTCATACTACCAAAAGTGATCTACAGATTCAATTGTTATCCCTATCAAAATACCAATGAAATTCTTCACAGAAATATACAAATTATCCTAGAATTCATATGGGGATCCCAAATAGCCAAAGCAATTCTGAGCAAAAAGAGCAAGTTGGAATCATCTCACTATCTGACTTTAAAATATACTGCAAAGCTATCTTAACCAAAATAACCATGGTACTGGCATAAAAAAATATATATAGATGAATGGAACAGAATAGAAAACCCAGAAATAAATCCATGTATTTACAGCCAACTGATTTTTTTTCTTTCATTTTTGTTTTCTTAGAAATTCTCGGTATGGTTTATTAGTGGCAATGTAAATCGATGATAATCATAAACCAAATTAAACAAATCTACCCCATGAATAAATTCTTTCTTTTTTTTTTTTTTTTTTTTTGTTTTGAGATGGAGTCCCACTATGTTGCCCAGGCTGGAGTGCAGCGCCATGATCTCGGCCCACTGCAACCTCTGCCTCCCGGGTTCAGGCGATTCTCGCGTGTCAGCCTCCTGAGTAGCTGGGACTATTGGCACCTGCCACCACGCCCTGCTAGTTTTTGTATTTTTAGTAGAGAAGGGGTTTTACCCTCTTGGCCAGGGTGGTCTTGAACTCCTGATCTCAAATGAACTGCCTGCCTTGGCCTCTCAAAGTGCTGGGATTACAGGCGTGAGCCCCTGTGCCCAGTCTTAGTGAATAAATTCTTAACTACTATTAATTAATTGCTTATAGTATCCAGCAGATATGTTTTAAAAGTCAATAATATTAATTCCCTTTGTAGATTGTTTAAAAAAACTGTTTTGAGTCAATCGCTGTGAATACTTGAAAGTACAAATATAAATTAAATAAGATCCAAAAGACTGTAACATGGCGTGGTGGTTCGCGCCTGTAATCCCAACACTCTGGGAGGCTGAGGCGGGTGGATCACAAGGTCAGGAGTTTGAGACCAGCCTGACCAACATGGGGAAACCCCGTCTCTACTAAAAATACAAAAATTAGCTGGGCGTGGTGGCATGCACCTGTAATTCCAGCTACTCAGGAGGCTGAGGCAGGAGAATCGCTTGAACCTGGGAGGTGGAGGTTGCAGTGAGCTAAGATCGTACCACTGCGCTCCAGCCTGGGCGACAGAGTGAGACTCCATCTCAAAAAAGAAAAAAAAAAAAAAAAAGAATTGTAACACATACAACAAAAAATTCTATAAAACAAAGATAACTTTAAAACCATTGCTCAATTTACTTTGTACCTTTTTTATATAAAATATTTAAAAACAGGACATATTGTCTGGATCATACATGAAAGTTCACATCCACATGTCTTTTCTATCAAATTCTCATCCTTTCTTCATTGTCAAAATCTTAATTTTCATTCCTAGCTGGATTGTTTTTCCTTGGCAATTCTTTCTGTTACCCCACTAAAATATTTCTCACGGAAGGAATTATGACCTTGGTATTGGCAGAAAATGATCACTTTGCAGATGTGAATACCGGTCGCAGTTCTCAAATTTCTTCACCATTTCCATTGTTATCAAGCACCTTGATGTGTGACTGGAAAGCTTCTGCTCGCAGTTGCTAATGAGTTTCAGGCAAGGATGCCAGGGCACCATCTCTTCAGTGTATTCTGGTATATACATTAGCAACCCATAGACCAGTCTTCCACCTACCACAAGGGTCTCAGCTGAGAAGTTTAACAAGTCAAAAAACATATCACTCAGATGATAACTCAAGGAAACAGGAATGTGGCTTTCTGGACATTTTTCTATCTCATTTGGTATTTCCTTTGGTGAAACTGTTCTTCTCGTAGATTCTCCGATACCATATGGAGGATCAAAATACGGGCGCCTGTAGTCCCAGCTACTCGGGAGGCTGAGGCAGGAGAATGGCGTGAACCCAGGAGGCAGAGCTTGCAGTGAGCCAAGATCCCACCACTGCACTCCAGCCTGGGTGAAAGAGTGAGACTCTGTCTCAAAAAAAAAAAAAAAAAAAAAAAAAAAAAAATATATATATATATATATATATATATATATATATATATATATATATATATATATATGCCCTTTCTCCAGGAAGGTTTATATGCATCTGGAACCAGAACTTCAAGGTCATACTTCTGTAAACCATATTGACAAAGATTGGCCCTAATATTTTCATCTGGTGCTCTCCATATCTGTTTTTTCCTACTGGCCATTCCCAAGCCATGAACTATGTTGTGGTCTATGTCTGTCCCATAAACATATATACCAAAATGGGCACATGCTATCAGGAGACCACCTAGAAGAACTAGTTGTCAAGAGGAACAGAAAAGCTTTCCTTTGCTTTCTTAAACAGAAGCTTATCCATTCGGTTGGAGTGAGTTTCGAGAAGACCCAGTTTACAGTACACTGCTGTTTCAACAAACAGATCAAAGACAATATCATTTTCTTTCACTTTCCCGTGGTTAGCCATGATGAATGACAAACCAGCATCCATACTTGTATTTCCAACAAAGTGCCTCTTTTTGACACTGTATGACTCAATAAGCTCTCTCTGTCCATCTGCAATCCATCTGCCAAAATAATTATTATGTGGATTCTCAGGGATGCAGTTTGGGTCCAAACCATGATCCTCCAAAACAGAGAATGTATGTTGTGGTTTCTTTAAATTCACTTTTTCTTCAGATGGCAGACATTCAATTGCATCTATTCGCTTGATTTTTCCCTTCTTGTGTCAATGTCTTATTAAAAGTGTGAATCTTTATTTTATATGTAGAGTCTGAATGTAGAAATGGAACCATCTTGTCCACAGGGTAATTTTTAAGAGAACTGTACAGCTCCTCGGGAGATTGTGCATGATCCCATAGTTCACACACAGACTGTCCATTTCATTAAATCTCTTGCAATATCTTCAGAGGGAATGCCAAGAATTTAAAATGGTGACTTTCCATGTTTCTTGACTGCTGGCGAACTGACCTCCAAAAAACGAAAGCAAAGACTTTATTTCCTGAGGCATTTAAGCTTCAACATCAGACAATTACCATTCAGTGTTTGGTAGGTGGAACTCCAGGTGCTCCTTGACCATGAGCAGCAGATACCTGTTTAGGGTGCACAGCAGCACCATTGCAGCTGCCTACCGTGCACCTTCACGGCTTGCATGAGGTCCCACCTCTTTCTCCCTCCCAGAGCAGAGTCTCCACTGAGACCAGCCAGCTGATTTTCAACAAAGGCACCAAGAACATTCAATGGTGAAAGAACAGTCTTTTCAATGAATGCTGCTGGAAAAATTGGATACACATATACAGAAAAATGAAACTAGACTTTGATCGCTCACCATATAGAAAACATCAAATCAGAATGGATTAAAGACTTAAATGCAGGAATTGAAACCACAAAACTACTAGAAGAAAACATTGGGGGAACACTTCGGGAGGACTTCGCTCTGGGCAAAGGTTTTTTGGCACTGGCAACAAAAGCAAAAATAGATAAATGGGATTACCTCAAGCTAAAATGCTTCTACACGTAAAGGAAGCAGTCAACAGAGTGAAGAGACAACCTACAGAATGGGAGAAAATATTTGCAACTATTCATCTGATAAGGAATTAATAAACAGAATATATAAAAGCTGGGTGCAGTGGCTCACACCTGTAATCTCAGTGCTTTGGGAGGCCACGGGAGGATGGCTTGAGGCCAGGAGTTTGAGACCAGAATATATAAGGAATGCAAACAACCCAACAGCAAAACAATAACAACAACAAAGCCAAATCATCTAATTTTAAAAAGGGCAAATAACCTGAATAGACATTTTTCAAAAGAAGACATATGCATGGCCAATGAGCATATCAGAGAAATGCTTAATGTCATTAATCATCAGGGAAATGCAAATCAAAACGATAATGAGGTATCATCTCACCCCAATTAAAATGGCTATTACTAAAAAGACAAAATTAACAAATACCAGCAAGGAGGCGGAGAAAGAGAAACTCTATACACTGTTGGTGGGAAGGTAAATTAGTATAGCCATTATAGAAACACCATGGAGGTTCCTTAAAAAACTAAAAATAGAATTGCCATATGATCCAGAAGTCCCACTATTGGGTGGCTATCCAAAGGAAATGAAATCAGTTTGCTGATATATCTGTACACCCATGTTTATTGCAGCACTATTCACAATAGCCAAGACGTGAACTCAAACTAAGTGTTCCTCAATAGAAAACGTGGTATATATGCACAATATTATTCAGCCATCAAAAATAATGAAATTTTGTCATTCACGGTAATGTGAATGAGTTTGGAGGACATGATGTTAAGTGAAATAAGCCAGGCACAGAAAGATAAATACTGCATGTTCTTACTGCTATGTGTTAGATGAAAAAGTTGATCTCGTAGGAGTAGAGAGTAGAATAATGGTTACTAGAGTCAGGGAAGGGTAGGATGGGAGGACAGCCAGAGGTTGGTTAACAGATACAAAAGTGTATCCAGATAGGAGGAATAAGTTCTAGTATTCTACAGCACTGTGGAGCGACTGCAATTAACAACTTATTGTATATTTCCAATTCGTCAGAAAGGCAGATTTTGCATGTTCCCAGCACAAAGAAATGATAAATGTTTGAGGTGATGTATATGCTAATTATCCTTATTTGATGACTATGCGTCATATACGTGTATTGAAATATCACACTGTGCTGCATAAATATGCACAATTATGTGTCAATTAAAAATAATAATAAAAGCAAGAAAGAGAGCATGTTCTTTAAAAAAAAAAAAAAGACTTCCAGCCTTCCCACCCAGATGTTGTCTTTGGGGTTTTTATGGTGCAGGATTGGGAGACTCAGAACTGCAGGGGTTGGGGAAGGGCAGAGAGCGTGGGGAGAGTGGACTCCACCTGGGGGAGGAGTTTCCTTTTTTGCAGGGACAAAATGACAGGCGACAAAAGCAGCATGTGGGAGACAAAAGGGACTTTAAAGAAGTGTGGCTAAAGACTGCATACTTCACAGAGTGAGAAAAACAAGCAAGGAACATGAGGGCTTTTTTTTCCAAGTCAGGTCTATCAAGGTGTAATTTACATGCAGTACAATTCACTTTTGGAGGTGTACAGTTCAGTGAATTTTGATGACCGCCTACAGCCATGCAACCACCGTCACAGTCAAGATACAGAACATTTCCATTACCTTGAAAATTCCCCCATGCCCTTTTACTTAGAAGGATGTTTGCTGTTTCCTGTAACAGTGTTGAAGAATCCATCCTTATCTGAGATCAAGTAATAGAGAGGAGAGAGAGCTGGGTGTAGAGGTGCCCAGGGCACCCTCTCTCTACTCGAGCCAGTAAAAAACAAACCTGCAATATTCATCTTTATATACACTCACAGATGTAAATACAGAGAGATACAGATGAGCAAGCCACAAAGCCAATTACATACCAAAGTTATGCCATTAACCTATACAAAGATTTCATAGGTTGTAGTTCCTTCCAGTTCCTCTTCCAGCCCCTGCTCCTGGCAACCACTGATTTGCATTAAAGATAATTCAACCTATCTCAATTTAATTTCTGTCCCTATGGTTTTGTCCTTTTCCAGAATGTCACATACATGTAATCATACAAGGATTAACCTTTTGTGTCTGGCTTCTTTCACTTGAGAGTCATCCGTGTTGCTGCATGCGTCCATCTTTGTTCCTGTTTATTGCTGAGTAATATACTAGGCACACCACAATTTGTTTATGCATTTACTAGTTGATGGATGCTGCGGTCGTTTTCAGTTTGGGGTTGTTTTGAATAGGGCTGCTATGAACATTCATGTAAAAGTCTTTGTGTGGACATACGTTTTCATTTTTCTTGCATAAATATCTGAGTGCAATTGTTGGGTCAGGTGATGTGTCTGTTTATGAGAAACTGACAAACTGGAATTACTTTGGTTGGTGAACTGTGTTTCTCTGACTATGACCCTATTGTGAAACTGAGCCATGTGGCTCACAGGTTTATAAGGGTTGCTTTGTACTCTTGTTGGACGAATTTCAGCTGCATATGTTGTCTCTCCTAAAGGTATTTGCATTTTAAACAGAAGTCAACTATTCTGTTCAACAAACACTGCCCCAAACTTCAAGTCATAGAATTGGCTTCATTCTCCATGGGAGAGGTTTCCTATGAGCTAGCAGGCAGGAGGTTCTTGTTGCCTTAGACAGGGTGCGTTTGGAATGCCATATGGGTACCAGTGAACCGTACGTGTGCCTGCAACTATAGGTAGATGAATCCCCTGAGTACTCCCACATCCAGGATTCTGCCAGGCAGAGGAAACGGCTCTGGAGAGAAGAGGTTGCCGGAGTCCTCTAACACTGCCCCTTGCCATTTTTGCTCAGGTCCCGCGTACTTTCTTTAGACTCCACTTTTTCTGTCACCAGTGCAAAGCAAGCATCTTTTAGAGACAAAGGAGCGTTGGATGAAAGGTCCCCAGGGAAATCTCTTTCCTGTCTCAGATGCTTCCTTTAAGACGAGGACAGAATCAGAGCAGAAGGGGCTATCCAGAGAACTCAGTTTTACTTCATGAATGTCTTTTTTTTTTCTTTTTTCTTTTTCGAGACGAAGTCTCACCCTGTTGCCCTGGCTGGAGTGCAGTGGCACAATCTCAGATCACTGCAACCTCCGTCTCTGGGGCTCAAGTGATTCTCATGCCTCAGCCTCCTGAGTAGCTGTGATTACAGTCACCCGCCAACACACCCGGCTAATTTTTGTATTTTTAGTAGAGATGGGATTTCACCATATTGGTCAGGCTGTTCTCAAACTCCTGACCTCGGGTGATCCGCCTGCCTCGGTCTTTCAAAGTGCTGAGGTTACAGGCGTGAACCACCGTGCCCAGCTCATGAATGTGTTTGACTCCATCTGCTTCTCTATACCCCCACAGTGTAGGCCTCCCATTGATACAGGAGCTAAAAAGAAATGATTTAGGCAGCTAGTGAGGGTAAGATAGTCCTTGGTAAGCCTTCCCTTTTAACAAAAAGCAGTCCCCAAATCATTTCTTTTCTAACAAAGAGCAGCCTGTAAAATTGAGCTGCAGACATAGATAAGCAAGCTGGAAGCTTGCACAGGTGAATGCTGGCAGCTGTGCCAATAGGAAAAGGCTATCTGGAAGCCAGGTATCTTCAACATGGAGGCTCCATTTTCCCTTTTCTTTGTCACCACATGTACAGAAAGAAACAGGGAACATGGAGCCAGCCAGGTAGAGGACCCATCTGTGTAATAAAAGATTAGGGGGCGGGCGCAGTGGCTCACGCCTGTAATCCCAGCACTTTGGGAGGCCGAGGAGGGAGGATCAGTTGAGGTCAGGAGTTGGAGACCAACCTGGCCAACATGGCGAAACCCGTCTCTGCTGAAAATACAAAACTTAGCCAGGCATGGTGGTGTGTGCCTGTAGTCCCAGCTACTTGGGAGGTTGAGACAGGAGAATCACTTGAACCCAGGAGGCGGAGGTTGCAGTGAGCTGGGATCACACCATTGCACTCCAGCCTGGGCGACAGAGCGAGACTCTGCCTCAAAAAAAGATTAGGGCGGGAAGCCAGCTTCTTCGTGAGCTATGTAAATGGAACACTTGGTTTGCTCAATCTTCTGGGCCCTATGTAAATCAGACACTGTCTCCTCAAGCTCATCTATAAAACCTGGTGCATTTCACTAGGGAACCGGAAAACCCTCTTGGGATCTCCTCTTTCTCTGCAGGAAGGAGAGCATTTCTCTTTCTTTTGCCTATTTAAACCTCTGCTCTTAACCTCACTCCTTGTGTGCCTCGTGTGTTCCTGTCCTTGATTTCCTTGGCGTGAAGCAATGAACCTCAGGTATGACCCCAGACGACCCCAGTAGGTGCCTCAGTGACCTGCTACCTTCTACTCTCAGTCCATCTTCTGGTCTCCACGTGGCAGCCAGAGGAGCTGCTTTATTTTTAAGGTTTTGATGGATTGATTTAAACTGGTAAACACATGGTTCAAAATTAGAAAGGTGCAAAAGGGTAGGCAGAGAAAAGTCTCCTTTCACCACCCCCCTTTGTTTTAAGAGACAGGGTCTCACGATGTTGCCCAGGCTGGTCTCAAACTTTTGGCCTCAAGTGATCCTCCCACCTTGGCCTCCCAAAGTGCTGGGATTACAGGCGTGAGCCAGTGTGCCTGGCTGAGATACATTTTTTTAGAAACACACACACACACATACACAATCACAATGATCATGTCATTCCTCTGCTGATAGCCATTCAATGGCTTCCCCTTTCACTGAGGATAAAACACCGAGTCTATAATAAGGCCCCAGGGTCAGGCTCGGGCAGCCCTGACTCCCTCTTTGGGATCTCCTTGCCACCCAGAGTTGGGACCCTCGGGCCTCCTCTCAGTCTCTCCAGCATGCTGGCTTCACCCACCTCAGGGTTTGTACACACACTGCTCCCATTGCCTGGAAGATTTCTTTCTCCACTTCACCTAGTGAAGCCCCCTCATTTTTCATTTTTCAGATCTTGACCTGAGAACTGCTTCCTCATGGAAACCTTCCATGATCCCCATGCCTGGCCAGGTCCTAGGGTCATGGGACTCGGCGATGCCACTTCAGATCTCTTACCACCATTTATCACCATTCTGTTTTGAGATATTATTTGATCATGGGACTTGAGGAATCCTGCACTAGACTGGCAGTGCCAGGGCAGCAGTTCTCCTGCTTTACTCATTGCCATATCTCCAGGATCCAGCACAGTTCCATGGAACACAAAGACAGCAGCTAGCATTTGCCGAGTGCTTACCATGTGCCAGGCCCCGTTGTCAGCACTTTACACATAGCACATTCCTGTAATCAACATGAATGCCTGGAGACAGGTACAATGATCATCTCCATTCTACAGACAAGCAAACTGAGGTTCAGCTAAGCAAGTCAGCTAATATCACTACCAACTCTGACATTACATGCCTCCTGCAGGAGTTTGGTAAGTATTTGTTGAATGAGTGACTAATAAATAAAAGAGAGAATGAAAAACAAAATGAATCAAACTCTCATGTAATGGACAGAAAAGCTGAGACTCCCCCCCCTGGAGAGGCGCAACCTGACCAGGTTATTCAACGCAGCGGAGGTGGGGCTGGGAGGGCGGTGCAGGTGCCGCCTGTGGGGCCGGATTCTCCCAGCTGCCCCACCTGGCCTCTCAGCCACATGCCCCTGCTAGCCAGTAGCCCCAGCCCCAGCGGCTCAGCCTGGCCCTCACTGCCCTTCCCTCCTCCCTCGCAGTGGCTGTCCCACCCTTTCCCTAGAGCTTTCCAAAGCCTGTCCCTGGATGCCTCCTCCCAGAAAATCGGCGGGCCTCTCCCAAATCCCCCCAGCCCCTCCACTTCTGCTCTCAGACACCCTCTAGCATGGACCCACACAGCCAGGGCTACAGGCACAGCCCCTGAATCAAGAGACATCTTCACCCTCCCCCTGCCATCTTTTCAGTTCTTCAAGTTGTTCTTGTCTTTTTTTCAATACAAAGTCCCTGTGTGATGCTGGGAGTTAATTAATTGTATTCTGGCCAATTAACTGTAATGAAAGTTTTTCCTTCCCTGTAGAAGAAAGGGCTTCCCTATAGAAGAGATGGCTACCTAGGGAGACTGCAGCTCTCTCTCTCTCTCTCTCTCTCTGTGTGTGTGTGTGTGTAAAACTCCATCTAGCTTTGGATATCATTTGGGTATCATTTATGAGGACTTGATGTCCAGAGCTGTGGCAACCATTTTGTGACATGAGGCGATAAGCTTGAGGCTGAAAAGTCTAAATGCTGAGAAAGGCAGTGTGGAGAGAGCCTGGATCCTTCTTGATAATCTCCCCCCAGAGGGTTCATTAGGTAAGCACTATTGTCCTTACAGCCCAGTCGCCATTGCTTTGATTTTCTGCAACTTGAAGCTGAAAGCATTCTTTACTGATTGGGTGAGGATGCCTTCACCTCCTTAGGAAGCACATAGGAAGTTCAGGCACAAGGAGACAGGAGGGAAAGCGCTGACCTATGGGTCAGCCAACATGGACTCTCCCTGACTCCACCACCAATTAGTGGCCTGACCCAGGGCAAAGTCACTTCCTCTCACTCCATTTTCTTCCTGGGAAAATGAGGGGCTGCATGACAGCAGTGGCGTCTCCTAACAGTGACTCACAAGCCCCCCAAAGCCTCAGTGAGCTGCCTGAACTTTTACTGATGCCAGTGAGGGGTGGAGAGGGTCCATACTGAGCTCAATTGTGACGGTTTGGAGGTGACTCAGTGAGGAATCAGACAGCCCCGGAGTCTTTTTTTCATTCCTGTTCCCCATTTGTCAGCAATCCTTCATCGTGCCCCAGTTTCAGGGTGTATTTTTAGTGAAAATAAACTTGCACAGCTCAGGATTACACAATTCCTTCAAGAGCTTCAGCATCACCTGCTGATGGACCCAAGCTAATGAGCAGGTCACGTGGAGGTGGTCACCCCCTCCCCGATAGCAGCTGGGAGTAGCTGGTGAGGCCCACTGACCCCAAAGTTCAGGAAGGTGGGCTAACGAGGGAAATAATTTAATTTTGCCAGAAAAACAAAAAAAAATCTCCACGTCCTACAGCCTGGGGCGAGATGAGTGCATTCAGCCTGGGATTCAGAATCAGGCCTTCGAGGTATCCAGCATCTAGTGAGGAAAACAGAGCTGCATTTTGAAACCCTTTGCCTTCTAAATCCAGGCCTGGAGCTGGCTTGTGTTTTGCAGAGCAGGTAAACAGGTTTGATTGGTTTGCAAAAAATGTGTTTGGGAGTGGGGAGCTGGGGTGGTGGGGAGGTTAAATCTTCTGCTTAAATAAGGGAAGAGAATTTAGCATTTCTAGAGGCCATGGAGAAGGCAGAATATCACAAGCACTGTTGGTGACCTGCCCAGATCCCCATTGCAGGAATGAAACACCCAGGCCCCTCCTACTGGGAGTGTCGGTTGTACCCTTAAACTGAGAACCACCCCCAACCAAGAAGCCTGGGAGATCACACTGCCCTGTCCTCATTCAATGACTGACCTATACAAGGGGTCAAAGAGCCCAAGTCCCTGGGCTCAAGGTAGGATAAATCTGTGGTTCCTTCCACAGTCCAGAGCTTCTGGTAGGACCTGGCTGAGGCTGGGCTTCCACAGTCCCCACATTCCTGCCTGGCTTCTTCCCCTGCCCTATCCTGACTCCCCCACTTCCTTACAAGTCCCTCCTGAGAGTACTCCTTCCCTCCATGGATGATCTGCACAGGGACCTCTGTCTCAGATGCTAGTTCTGCAGAGCCAACCTATGACCTAGGATACGGAAATGAGGAGGAAAGTGGGGCACTTGGGCTGGATAAAGCCCCTCAAATGGGACAAAACAGCCAATGACTAAGGTCTTTTAAGCACATGAATATTTAATGTTCTATAATCCATATGAATTGAACTGTTCTGTATGAATCTTATTAGTTGGGTAGACATGGGCAGGTCTTTCAATCTTCTGCTGTGATGTAAGCTCTTAGCCCATCCCCTTCAATCTTAAGTACAGTCTGTTATACACAGAAATGCCCTGCAAGTATGTGTGTGTGTGTGTGTGTGTGTGTGTGTGTACATGTAGGGTTAGGGGTTGGGTTCCACAATTGGATTGACCCCAAATGGCCAGAACATGCAGGATGGTGATCTAATCCATAAATGGAATTAACTCAGCAGAAAGGAGCTAGAGGTGATCATCAGCCTATAAATACTTGGAGAATTTGCATCAGTGTTGGAGAGGACTTGGAACTTCCTTGGGAAATAGATGAGAATTGGAATCATTCTTATCTACATCTTAAGGAGCAGAAAGACCTCAGCTGTTATGGAAGACATTACTAGTTGTCTACACAGCATCCATTCTCTCTTTCTTCCTTAGTAACAGAGCATTGGTTTTATTCTGGACAGCAATGTGCTCAATTAAAAGGATATCTTTCCCAGAGCAGTTGGCATGGCCGATGAGATGGAAGCACTAGGTTTTGCTTTGAAGTCTCTGTAAGAAGAGCACAGCATGGACCCTTTGTGTCCTTTCCTTCTCCCTCTTGCTTCCTACCTGGAACATAGATGTGATGATTGGAGCTTCAGCAGCCATCTGGACCTATGATGAGACCTTGAGGAGGGAAGCTACATGCTGAGGATGGCAGAGCAAAAAAATCTAAGGACCTTCAGTCTCTGAAGACTTCATGGAGGTGCCAGGCCAGCCCCTTTGGGGTTTAAACAATTGAAGTTGGAGCTCCCATACTCATAGCAGCATGTGTTCCTCATGAATTCTGCTTTCACGAGCAGAGTCTTTGCCAAGTTACCCCCTTTTTACCAGGATCATCATTATTGCTTATTCCCATGTTTTCCATGAGAATGACGGTAGGAAAGGGAAAGAGTGTGGGCTTAGGAGTCAGACACTTGGCTCAGGGGACCTTAGCAGAGAGCAGTTTCAAGTTTGAGTGTGCTGTAGAACCACCTGGAAGGTTTGTTAAAATGCAGGCTGCTGCTGGCCCCTGACCCCGCAGCTTTTGATTCAGTAGGTTTAAGGGGGGCCTGTGAACTTGCATTTCCAACCAGCTTCCAAGAGATGCTGATGCAGCTGGTCTGGGGATTACATCATCCTCATGGCAATCACACTACCCTAATTTTAAAATCTCTTTTCTGTCATTAATTTAACAGCTAGGTACTTCATCCTGTATTCATTTCAACACATGACTCATTCATTCATTTAACAAATAATTATAAAGCAGCCACCGTGTGCCAAGCTCTAGCAATGGGGACTCAACAGTGGAGAAAACCAACCCCCTGATGTCAGCTAGGAAGCTAACATCCTAGTGCAAGAGAAGGGCAATGTAACCGATTAAAAATATAATAGAGCCAGGTACAGTACCATCCCAGCTACTCAGGAGGCAAGAGGATCACTTGATCCCAGGAGTTCGAGGTTACAGTAAGCTATGATCACATCACTGCACTCCAACCAGGGCGACAAAGTGAGATCTTGTCTCTAACGAGAGAGAGAGAGAGAGAGAGATAGTGTGTGTGTGTGTGTGTGTGTGTGTGTGTGTGTGTGTACTATAGTGACAGGCAGGGACAAATGCTATGAAGAAAAATAAATCAGGGCAAGGGGATAGAGAGTGATAGGAGATGCAATTTTAGAGAGGATCATCAGTGAAGGGCATTTAAAAGAAATGACTTACAAAAACTCACATACAATGAGGGAGTGAGCAGTGCAGAATTCTGGGGCAAGAACATCTTAGGTTTAGGGAATGGCAAGTGCAAAGCCCTGGGAGAGGGTCATGTTTGCTATGTTGAGGGGCCAGCAAGGAGATCTGTAGGCTGGAGCAGGGAGAGCCAGAGGGAGAAAGGCAGGAAAAGAGGGCAGAAAGATGGACAGGGCCAGCCCATGGGGGTCTTCCAGGGCATAGTAAGGATTTGGGGTTTTAGTTAAAGGTCTAGGGGAGCTATTGGAAGGAGTGACATGATCTGACTTCTGTTTTCAAAGAACACTCTGACTTAGTTAGGGGCTGCTGCTCTCATTCAGGCAAGAAATGATGGTGGGTAGGGTAGGACAGATGGGGACAAGTGGACAGATTTAGTAGGATTTGCTGTCACTTTGGATATGTGGAGCAAGAACAAGATCAGAGCCAAGGACAACTGCTAGGATTTTAGCCTGGGCAGGCAGGTAAATGGTGGCTGTTCAGGAATTCTTAGGTGCTGTATCTAGTGGGGAAGGCCACAGGGAAAGGAGATGATGAAGACATAATGTCTGCCTTCCAGATCTCACTGTTCAGTGGGATTCTCCATAAACATTCACTGAGGGCCCAGGCAAGATCATTCCCAAGGGTAGGGACAGTTCTATTTGGGCCGCCTTTGTCAGTTTATATGATCAGGGAGATCCCTTTTGGGTCTCTACTTGCATAACAGATGTCACGGGAAAAGCTACCTTGGCATCAAAACTCTGCTGGTTGGGCAACCCCGTAGATTACAGATAGATGTGTGGTTTACAAATCGCTAGAATTGGAAAGAGCCAAAGAAATTAGTGAGGGAGGCTCAGAACAGAATTCCAGGTGAGTTCTATGCAGGCTTACTAAAATAACTCAGCATTGAGAGGAACAATGACAAGTATTGTGTCACAGGTGTGCTGTGCTGCAACAGCCTAGCAAACTCTTCTAGACTTGGGGAACTAGAAACAGCATGTCAGGCTTGATTATTCATCAGTTGCTAGCTGGCAGGGGAGGGAGTGGGAGTCTCAGATTTTCTTTGCATTTTTCTAGTAGTTAATAATTCCTATATAATTCAAATATCAGCTAGAGCCTTCCTACACTTTGAGAACTTCAAAAATACTTTTATGTGGCCAGGTGCGGTGGCTCATGCCTGTAATCCCAGCACTTTGGGAAGCCAAGGTGGGAGGATCGCTTGAGGCCAGGAGTTTGAGAGCAGCCTGGGCAACATAGCAAGATTCTGTCTCTACAAAAAATAAATAAAAAATTAGTTGGGTGTGGTGGCCTGTGCCTGTAGTCTCAGATACTTGGGAGGCTGAGGCAGGAGAATTGCTTGAGCCCAGGAGTTTGAGGCTGCAGGAAGTTATGATTATTCTACTGCATTCCAGCCTGGGGAACAGAGCAAGACCCTGTCTTTAATAATAATAATAATAATAAAATACTAGTATGAACTCCTCAATTCTATGCCTTCTGGAGTCTACATCAGCATTTCTGTGAATTTGGAGGGAGGGTCGGGACTCCTATTGTCAAGGTTACCTGGTGTCTCCAGGAGATTGCTTCTCTTAGCATCGCCTTTGTCTCACACAAAACTGATGAGACTCAAAGATCATTTTTTTTCTTATTTTCTACTGTAATCTTATTAAAAGCAAGGGTCCCATATGGCCCAGATTTTGGATGGAGTTGTATTCAGGATGCACAGTCCAGTAAACAAAGGTAATTAAAAAGTAATTCCAGGCTGGGCACAGTAGTTCATGCCTGTAATCCCAGCACTTTGGAAGGCTAAGGCAGGAGGATCCCTCAATCCCAGGAGTTCAAGATTGGCCTGGGCAACATAGCAAGATCTCGTGTGAGAAAAAAAGGGAGGGGGATTCCAATTTTTATGTTCATCTTTCAAATCACCCTGAAGAGGACCTCCATCATATTTCATACCATTTCTCAAAACTCTCTTCTTTGTCTTGCCAGTTCTCACTCATATTTTCTTTTTTCTTTTTCTTTTCCTTTTCTTTCTTTTTTTTTTTTTTTTGAGACAGAGTCTTGCTCTGTTGCCCAGGTTGGAGTATAGTGGCATGATCTGGGCTCACTGCAACCTCTGCTTCCCGGGTTCAAGCAATTCTCCTGCCTCAGCCTCCCAAGTAGCTTGGATTACAGGTGCATGCCACCACACCAGCTAGTTTTTGTTTTAGTAGAGATGGAGTTTTACCATGTTAGCCAGGCTGGTTTCAAACTCCTGACCTCAGGTGATCTGCCCACCTCAGCTTCCCAAAGTGCTGGGATTACAGGTGTGAGCCACGGCACCTAGCCTACATTTCACTCTTACGCTTCTCCGCTGGCAAACCTTTCAAACTTTCTCCTAAGTCTTGCTGCTTCCCATTGGCCTTTACAGTCTCTCTCCCTCCCTCCTTCCCTTCCCTTCCCTTCCCTTCCCTTCCCTTCCCTTCCCTTCCCTTCCCTTCCCTTCCCTTCCCTTCTCCTTCCTTCCTTCCTTCTTCTCTTTCTTTCTCCCTCTCTCTCTTTCTTTCTTTTCTCTTTCTTTCTTTTTCTTTCTCTCTCTCTCTCTTTCTCTCTTTTTTCTTTTCTTCCTTTCCTTTCTTTCTTTTTTGCAGTCTTACTCTGTCGCCCAGGCTGGAGTGCAGTGGCACAATCTCTACTCACTGAAACCCCCGCCTCCCAGGTTCAAGCAATTCTCCCACCTCAGCCTCCTGAGTAGCTGGGATTACAGGTGCCTGCCATCATGCCCAGCTAATTTTTGTATTTTTAGCAGAGACAGGGTTTCACCACGTTGGCCAGGCTGGTCTCAAACTCCTGACCTCAAGTGATCCACCCACCTCAGCTTCCCAAAATACTGGGATTACAGGTGCGAGCCACCACGCCTGGCCACTGTTTCTTTATTTCTGGCCATTCTTCAAGTCTCACAAAAGGATGCAAAATAGGCTGCAAAAGTTCAAACTTGCATACAGCTTGTGTGTATGTGTGCATGCACACATGTATGCATGTGTGAGACAAAGGTTAGCTTTATTAATCTCCTAAATACCCATTCTCTCTCCCCATATGGGCTCACTAAAGGTAATTTTCTTTGTCCACTCAACTTCTTTCCTCTCCCCCTGCCCACTCCCACAACACAGTCATTAGAGTAGAGAGCACTTCGCTAAAGATTTCTTGGGAGAGCCCAAGGGATTCTGTCAGAAATGCAAGTAACGTAACCATGCACACCAGGCATCTGAGTTCTTAAGAAGCCTCTCACCACCTACCACCGGGGTTCTCACTGGCTGTCTATCCACATTCGCCCATCGTGACCCATTTTGATGCCTTCTTTATATATCACCTGTCTATACTGATTGCCACCGTCCCTCCTCTTCTTCTCTCAGGAGCAAAGCGACAAATTTCACTCCTCGTATTTTTTTTTGAGATGGAGTTTCACTCTTGTTGCCCAGATTGGAGTGCAGAGGCACAACCTCAGCTCACTGCAACCTCCGCCTGCCAGGTTCAAGTGATTCTCCTGCCTAAGCCTCCCGAGTAGCTGGGATTACAGGCGCCTGCCACTACATCTGGCTATTTTTTTTTTTTTGTATTTTTAGTAGAGACGGAGTTTCACCATGTTGTGCAGGCTGGTCTCAAACTCCTGACCTCAGGTGATCCACCCACCTCGGCCTCCCAAAGTGCTGGGACTACAGGCTTGAGCCACCATGCCCGGCCTCACTCCTTGTCTTATGCAGAGCAGTTTAGCTCATTAGCAGACGGGTTGCAAGCATGGGAACTGGAGCCAGTTGGCTTGGGTTTGAATCCTGCCCCCTGCTGACTAGTTGTATGACCTCAAGATGGCTTCATCACTTCTTGTTTCCTAGTTTCTTCATCGCCAAGATGGAATTAGTGCTAACCCCTTTCTCCAAGGGTTGTTGGGAGGATTAACTGAGTTAACCAACATCAAGTACTTAGGGAAGCACCTCGTATACAGCAGGTGCTCATGAAATCTCAGGTTTTATTAGTCTCCTGAGCTCTTGGGCTCATCTGTCATCTCCTAACAGAGAGACTTTTCCAAGGTTTCCAAATAAAGGACGCTTCCTCCTCAGGATGGATTTTGGTGCTGGCCATGAATGCTGTTTAGCCTTGTTGCTTCCATAAAGGGTCCTGGGTTTGAATTCTGACTTTGCCACTTTCTGGCTGTGTGACCTTAAGAAGATCCTTCAACATCTGTGAGTCTCAGTTTCCTCATCCTTTAAATGGAGATAACAGCACTACCCATTTTCTGAGATTGTTAGGATTAAGGGAGCATGCATGTGAAGCCTCTGGAGTGGTAAGGATTTGTGGGGTGTTGGCGGGGCACTGGGTGCTGTCCAATGTATCAATTTTTAGCACAGTGAACAACACCCTGGATGTGGTCCACAAATGCGCTTGCAGCCTGCCCCCCAGAGCTGTGCAATGGTGGTTCTTTATGAAGGAAAGGTGCTCCTGGGAAACAGACAGAGTTGGGATCAACTAACAAGGTGATCTCAGGGGAGGGCAAGACCCCTGTGGGCTGGGAAGACTTTCTAAGGGAGGGAGAGCTTGGGCTGGGCCATGTAAATGGGGAGGATTTGAATAAGGACCATGTGGAAGGAACTTCAGACAGGAGGGGCTCCTGAGCAAAGGCTGGGAGGTAGGACTGGGCTTTGTGTGCAAAGCCAGCTTCCCGGGATCCGCCACACCCTCTGATTCAGCTAAGTCCACAGATAGGGCTGAGCAGCTGGCTGGGCCTCAGCAGAGGGTTCATGTCGTGGGTGGGTAACTGACAAGAGCAGAACGGAGGGCTGCGGAATGTCCCCTGCCAGGCCGAGGTGCTTGGACTTCAGTGTTATTAGTGATAATAGCAAAGCAATAAGAACAAGCATCATTTGTTGCACTCTGAGATACCAAGCACTGCACCTCAGAATGCAAAAAACACTGTGGCTCGGGGGCCACACATCAAATCTGTGCCAGAGCCTGGATGGACACTGAGGTCCAGTGGACCCCAGAGGCCAGGCCCCTGACTACAAGGAGAGCCCGCACTGTCCTGGGGCACCCACAGCCTCTGAGCATTAGCAGAGTCCGTCCTTAGGGTCAGCTCTCTCCCAGGAAGGAGGGGAGGGGGTGCCTTGTGACCATCCTGTTCTCCGTCTCCTCCCCTCCCCCTTTTCCTCTGCTCTCTGCTCCTCCTTCCGATCATGCACTGGTTGGGGACACCTCCAGGCCACCCTCAGCCCCAGGTGGGTTTGGCATCCATGGAGTGCAGCCCATGTGTCCCCAGAGCCCCTCCTCCAGCACTCCTTGTCTGGATGGGACCAAGCAAGGTAGAGGTGGCGCGGGTGGAGAAGGAGGAGAGAACCTTCTCCAATGAGAGAGGGGACTGCACCTCTCCAACCCTGGTTTGGCATTTTATGTGCTGGGAATGAGAAGCCCAAGGTTGCTATGGAAACTACCATCCCCTGCTCCCTCTCTCATTCTCTGTGGGAAGTTCTTGCATGTAAGGGGTGTGGGGTACGTGGGTAGGGGGCACTCCTGCTGCACACGGCGCTGGAATGCAGAAGGACCGTCTCTAGGGGTGGGAGATGCAATGGATGGATGGGAGCCAGGTGAAAGGCCTCTGGGGCTCCTGATCCTAGAAGGGGCTTCAGGGCTTCTGACTTGAGAGCAGGGCCAGGGGCAGCCATGGAGCTCAGGGGGCTTCTCTGGAATAATCCTGGGAGTGACCATGCATACTCGAAAGGCACAGAACAATTTGCAAAACGCAGTCAGATGGGCCACTGGGAAAGAGCTTGGGCCCCACAGTTACCAGGATGTAGGCTTGAATACCAGCACAGCTCATGCTCCTAAGCTTCACTCTCTCTACTAGAAGATGTGCCTAGTGACAGCAGCCTCAGAGAGTGGTGACATGAAACCATTATGCTATGCACCTGGTCCCTGCCTGGCGTCTATACAGCAGGCAGCATCCAGTTAAGGGGAGGTCCTTGTCTTCCCTTTCCCATCTCACTGGATCCCATTCAGATAGGCAGTAGGAGCCCGCTTTACAGATAAGGGGACTGAGGCCCAGCCAGGGGAAGGAAGGGGCTCAGGGTCCACAAGGGGTCTGGGCGGGGCCAGGAACTACACAAGTTCTTCTGCCTTCCTTTGCACTCTTGTCGCTGCTGCCTGGCACTGGCCTTAACTGTCAGCCACTGTGACCTGCAGGACTCCCTGCGTCTGAGCCCGGTGCTAAGCCCCAGAGCTTCTTGATACTCTCATTAGGGGGACCGGGCCTGTGGCAGAAACAAATCTCTTTTGGCTTTTATTATTAAAATAGAATAAAGTGCCAAGCTTTCTCTGTGGGGGAGGGAAATGATGGAGGTGGGGAAAAAAAAACAGCCTTCCAGCCCCGACGCCGACACCCCCATGCAGCGCCCCTCTCAGCTCCCAGAAAGGAGAGTTCCTTCCAGGTGAGTTGTCAGCTCTTTCTGGGGCAGAAGAAGGTGGAAAACTAATTTTAACCTCTCAGGATTTTTTTTGTTTTTTTTTTTTTTTTAGCCTTCATGTCTTTCAGACCAGGGGAAGGACATCAGGTACCCCTCTATGTCCATTGAGACACAGGGGAAGAAGGGAACCAAGGGTGATTTTGCCTCCCCCAGGCAGGTTTTGCAAACCCCAGGTGGATACTGAGGCCAATCTGGGCTCGGCAGGTCTCTACCTTCTCCCCCGCAGCAGAAAATGAGGTCCCTCCTATTCCACCTCTTCCCAAATCCAAGGAAGGTGTCAGCAGGCTGAAGTCAGATATGTGAGTTTATGAAAACTGGGGCCTGAGTTCCAGACCACCTGCTTCAGGGATTTGCTGTATGGCGTTGAGTTAAGTCACCTCCTCCTCTGGGCCTGAGTTGCCTCATCTGTCCCAAGAGGAACAACTTCCATCTTGCTCACTTCCCAGGGTGGCCATGGAGGCTTAAAGCAGTGTGGGCTGATGTCCAGGCCCCAGCATTTAGAGGCTGTAACCAAACTGGAGCGGATCCCATGGGGAGTGATCGGAATGGGGCAGGGACCCTTAGTCTGCCCACCTGATGGGGGAGAACCAAGAGATCAGCCTCCAAATTCATGTTGCACCCAGCCCAGTGCTTGGCATGTGGTTGTTAAGGCACGTTTAGAACAGGATAAATCAATCAGGGTTCCCATAGGGAATAATGGGACAAGGTTAGCCTGAGAAGACATTCATGGGAAATCAGCCAATTGATCTACAAGCAGTAGAATGGCTGTGACAAGGCATTAGAGATTAGAGATAGTTCCTGGGGACAAATAAGTAGACACTGTAAGAAGACAGATTTCAATTCTACACAAGGGCCATGGAGTGAAGGCAGGGGAATGAGCTTGGATTAGGCATTTGCAATGTGTCTGGGAACTGAATGGAAATGGCTATAATTGGTTGAGCCCTTGCTGAGAAGCAGTAAGCTAGGGTGAGGACTCAGCATCTGGAGCCAGATGGCCTGGGTTCGAATCCTGACTCTGCCACTAATCAGCTGTGTGATCCCAGGAGAGTTACTTCCCATCTGTGTCTCAGTTTCCTCATCTGTAAACTGGGGAAAATAATGTTACCTGACTCGGGAGCTGCTCTAAGGATTACCGCACATGTGCACAGACACGTCTATACATCTATCCAGAGCAGAGCCTGGCAAATAGTAAGTGCTTCAAAGCGCTGTGTGAGTGTTGGCCAGGAGCACTGCTCCCCCTTGGTCCTGAGCTACTTCGTTTCATGTAATCTTCCCAATGATCTTAGAAGAGGTGCTGTTATCATCTCCATTATTCAGATGGGGAAACTGAGGCCCATCTAGATTCAGCAGTGTGCTCAAGGTCACCTATCTTGAAAATGGCAGCACCAAAAATCGAGTGTAGCTCTGATTGCCCGGAAGCCAGAATTCCTAATCACTGAGTAATGTTCAGATCATCCCTCTTGAGAGAGACATGCTGTGCCCTGCTCTCCCAGCCCAGGTGCAGAGGTCCAGAGACAGCAAGTACCAGACTCAATGCCACAAAGCTGTCTAGTGAAAGAACTCAGGTTTGGCTCCAAGGTTCACGGGCTTGCTTTCCACGGCACCACACCTGACCCTGGGTGATATCTCGGGCCAGCAGGGGTTGGGTGGGCCTTCTGGGAGGATGCCGAGGTTCAAGATGAGACAAGGTGACCTTTCTGCCCTCTTGCAGCTCTGAGTGGGATGATTAGGTGAGATGATGAACGTGGAGGCCCTCCAGAGGATGGAAATTGGGCGCACACGTGAGACTGTTGTGCGGCTGCTCGTTATCAGCCGGGGCCAGAAAGCCCAGATTCCTGTTTGTGGGAGAACAGGAAGCACCCACACATCACCCGGATTATTTCTTCTCTTTCCCTCTCTCTGCCGCCTTGTCTCTCTCTCTCTCTCTCTTTGTCTGTGCTTCTGCCTCTCTCTCTCTGTCTCCTATCCTCCCTCTCTCTCTAGAAAAAGATTTGTTCCCCGCCACTCAGCAGCAGCACTCAACCAAAATGAGTAATTAATCCTCACAGCTCCTCTTTATCTGGCCCTCTCATATTTGGTTACTTTTGGCCCAAGAATATTGGAAGATATGCTACCCAGAGTAAATTACCTTATTTCACTGACTCTTTGCTTGGAAATATGTTACATTCTAAAGGTCATTTTATAAAAGGGATTACTAGATCAAGGCAATGCCACGTCAGCTTGATTGCTGTATCAACGTAAGAAACCAGGGCAAAAATAGAGAATCTAGAGTTATTTACTCATCTATGTCAGGAAGCAGGCTATTCATCTTTTCTGGAATCGAGTAAAACTGCTCCCAAGGCATTTTAGACAGGAATCTTGATATAACGGGAGATAATAATAGGAAGATTCACTGGCTTGAGGGTTTCTTAAAGAGAGATTCGATGAAGTGGAGGGGTCTGGAGATATTCGGCTGTCATCATGGAAAATAATATATCCCCTCTCTCTTTTTCTTTCTTCTTCCTTTCTCTCTTTCTTTCCTTCCTTCTTCCTCTCTTTCTTTTTTCTTTCCTTCTTTCTCTTTCTTTCCTTCCTTCCTTCTTTCTCTCCCTCTCCTTCCTTCCTTCTTTCTCCTTCCTTCCTTCCTTCCTCTTTCTTTTTTCCTTCCTTCCTTCTTTCTCTTTCTTTCCTTCCTTCTTCTTTCTCTCCCTCTCCTTCCTTCATTCTCATTCCTTCCTTCCTTCCTTCCTCTTTTCTTTCTCTTTCTTTCCCTTTCTTCCTCTTTCTCTCCCTCTCTTTCCTCTCTCTCCTCCTCTCTCCCTCTCCCTCTCCCTCGCTCTCTCTCTCTCTCTCTGTCCCCCTCTCTTTCTTTCTGGATCCAGCTTTTACTCTGTTCTAGGCCCTGGAAATACAAAGAAGATGGACACAGACACTGGTGGACAAGGGGGCACTTCCTGGCCTTCTGAAGCTTTGGGTCTGAGGGAGGACACAGGCAGGTAAGCAGGCAGCGAGGATGGTGGGTGCAGAGTGCCGTGCTGGGAACAGTTTGCCGGGGGTTCGCGTGGATCCCTGAAAAGGCTCGTTCCAGCTTAGGAAATGTTAGCCTGACCAGGTGGAAAGCTCACCCCTGCTCGCCATCTGCTGAAGAAGGGTCACGTACATGCCACCTGGCTTTCTGCGGGGAGATAGCATCTGGAAGGCAGAGAAAGCTCCTCTGGGTGGGGAGAAGTTTCACTGGGCACCATCATGATTTATTCAGCAGCGTCAGACACCTGCACCCTGGGGCCAGCGCCGGCCTTGGTGGTTCTCCAGGATTCGTTCTGGGTGCACACACCTGTCTCTTCCTACACCCGGGGAATGGGGGGTGGGGGACAGAGGCCAGTCCAGAGGCAGCAGCCTCTCCCACCCTTAGCCTGGGTAGGGGGAGGAAGCAGTCCTGGCCAGAGCCCCAGACTCACAGCGGATGTGGCCAGCTCACCTGGTGGCAAGAGGGAGCCAGAAACGTCCTTGGGGCCCTGAGTCCCAGTGCCAGGACTGTTCCCTGCAAGATTTCTCCTCCTAGGCTCACCACGAGATTCAGTATCCTGTGAAGCCTTCTCCTAATAACCCCAGGCAGAACTCACTGCTACCAGCACCTGGCAGGCTCCCTTTGTGTGGATTGTGTGTGCACACACGTGCACGTGATGTGTTTACAAACTAGATGTGGGCCGTTTTGATACCTCCAAGCTAGGATTATGTTAACACTGTCTGAGTAATATAAATCATCACGGATTAAAAACAGCTTGCATTTGCATAACATGTCGTACTTCTCCAGATGCTGCTCACATCTTCATTTTCTGCATCGGTCTCACCAGGATCCTGAGAGGAGGAGAGGGCGGGTATTAGATGTCCCCAAGAAGTGAAAAAAGAAGTGTCACCGGCATTAAAGACTGAGCAAGGAGGCGTCAAATCTCCTTGACCCCATGCTCACAGCACAGCTGGAGGAGACAGAGGTCTCGCCTTCACCGAGCTTAGCGGTATGACATGTTTCTCCAGGCCAGCCTTGCAGTTTTTAACACCACTGTTTAAATGATAATTTTGTTTAAAAATTTATTTTTATTTGGCTAAAGATTGAATAAGGCTGGTGCGGTGGCTCACGCCTGTAATCCCAGCACTTTGGGAGGCTGAGGCAGGCAGATCACAAGGTCAGAAGTTCGAGATCAGCCTGACCTACACGGTGAAACCCCATCTCTACTAAAAATACAAAAATTAGCCAGGCATGGTGGTGCACGCCTGTAGTCCCAGCTACTTAGGGGGCTGAGGCAGGAGAATAGCTTGAACCCGGGAGGTGGAGGTTTCAGTGAGCTGAGGTCACGCCACTGCACTCCAGTCTGGGCAACAAAGCGAGACTCTGTCTCAAAAAACAAAAACAAAAACAAAAAAACCCCCAAAAAACAAGATTGAATAGTAAGCTAGGAACACAGTAGCTGATTAGTGTAAAGATTAGTTACCTAATATTGATATTAGGCAAAGTTTTAATTTTTACCATGTACAGCAAAACCTAATGCTGTTTCCCTATTGTATTCTACTCTCTTTGGGAGTGTGGCCATGAAGACTGAGGCTGGCCATAGCCAGGACCCTCCCCAATAACCATGTCTTCTGTTTTCATTTTGAGCAGGTCCTAGGCTAAGCACTTTGCAGGCACGATCTCAATAAACAGAGGTAACAGATCGACAAAGTGTGGCCAGGCACGGTGGCTCACGCCTATAATCCCAGCACTTTGGGAGGCTGAGGCGGGTGGATCATCTGAGGTCAGGAGTTCGAGATCAGCCTGACCAACATGGAGAAACCCCATCTCTACTAAAAATACAAAAAATTAGCCAGGCGTGGTGTCAGTCGCCTGTAATCCCAGCTACTCTGGAGGCTGAGGCAGGAGAATTGCTTGAACCCAGTTGGTGAGCTGAGATCGCACCACTTCACTCCATCCTGGTTGAAAAAGCGAGTCTCCATCTCAAAAAAAAAAAAAAAAAAAGACAAAATCAGTTTTATTCCCATTGTGCAGATGAGGAAACTGAGGTTCAGCAAGGCTCAGTGATTTACTTACAGTTACAGGTAGGAGTGGTGGTGCAAAGGTCCACACCCAGACTGTCCCCAGCTCCTGGGGGAGTAACCACTAGGTTTTGCTGCCTCCCTCTTCTCCAGCTCCTCTGCCACAGTGGGGCTCCTGTTCCACTGCCAGGACCCCAGGTAGGAGCAGGGAAGTCGTGGGGCAGGAGAGTCAGCCCTGGATTGCAGCAGCGGCCACCAAAGGCAGGGCCACTGGGCGATGAGCCTGCATTAGGCTTTTCATCCCTGCTGCTCCCTCCAGCTCCTCGTTACTGTCCTTAATTATGAAATAACAGCGGTTCCCAGGCAGAGGGAGGGCGGGAGGGTGGCAGAGCGAGCATCCAGATGGCCCTCCTGGCAAGCGTGGGCCTCGCCTGGTCTTTATGTAAGAGTCGCTCTGCTTTCCAGATTGCCTTCGAGTCAGATGTTTAAACACTTGTTTTGTGTTTATGATACAGAGGAAGAAATTAAAAGGCCCCCAGGGGAAAACGAGGAAGGGAAAAACCAGGAGTGATTCTGGGGGGTTGTCAGGCCAGATGGAGAGAGAAATCGAGTCTGGGACTGGTGTTCAGATGACCATGAGCAGGTGGCTTCTCTGCCCTTAGGTGGTGAGATCCAGGAGTGCATGACAGAGGGAAGTGGGTGAGCTCCTTCAGGAAACAAAACTGGAACTGCCAGCGACTGAGGGCCTGCTGTGTCCTCAGCACTGTGCTCTAGCACACCTTATATGCCCTCTCTTTTTCTTTTCTTTTTATTTATTTATTTATTTATTTATTTATTTATTTATTTATTTGAGACAGAGTCTTCCACTGTCACCCAAGGCTAGAGTGCAGTGGCACAATTTTGGCTCACTGCAGCCTCAACTTCCCAGGCTCAAGCGATCCTCCCGCCTCAGCCCTGCAAGTAGGTGGGACTACAGGCACGCCCCACCATGCCTGGTTAATTTTTTAAAATTTTAGTAGAGATGAGATCTCGCTATGCTGCTCAGGCTGATCTTGAACTCCCGGGCTCAAGTGATCTTCCCGCCTCGGCCTCCCAAAGTGCTGGGATTACAGACGTGAGCCACCTTCCCGGCCTATGTACCCTCTCTCAATCTCTCAGCAGCCCTGTTTTACAGATGGAGAAATCAAGGCTTTGCGGGGGGATTTGGTGACTTGGCCAAAGTCAGATTGCCTGACGTGCAGAGTTGGCCTGGGACTGCTGGAAGTTTTTCCCGCCTGGAACATTCTTCCTGCATCCAACTCCCCCTCCTGCAGAAAATCTCCCCCAGCAAGCCAGCCCAGCTGCGTGCGCTGCTGCCCCCTAAATTTCCTGTGATTGTGACTTCTGAACTGGATGTCTTACTGCATCTGACCTTCGGTAGCTCGAGAACTGTTCATAGGCCCCTGGAATCCGCACTGGAAAAGGCCTCCGTAGTCAACGCTCCAAGCCTCCATTGGCTTTTTAGATTCCCTGAAAGGCATCCCAGCTGTGCTGAACACTGACACCAAAAGGGAATCAGTCAATCACTGCTCCTTTGAACGGAGTTTGTGGCTTGACACTTCTTCACTGCAGAATCTCTTAATGGACGGAACCAAGTCTTCACTTCTCTCTTTCATATCCTGTAGCGGGTAGTGCAGTGCTGGGCCCACTAAGAGATGGCAGAAGCACAGCATAAGTTAGTTGCAAGAGCATAGAATCACCATCTCTTTTGACAGGTGAGGAAATTGAGGCCTAGATTGCTGGGGGCTTGCCTACAGTCACACAGTGAGTGGTGGACAGAGCTGGAACAAGGACTCAGACCCCTTCCTAGCCCAGAGCTCTACCCACTCTTTGCTGGCCTTGGGTCTTGCTCCTCCCAGCAGATTTGGGTGTTCCCTCCACAGTGCTCCCCAAGGGCCTTGCACAGACCGCTGTGAAAGCATGTACCAGAATCTGTTGTCACAAAATACGCAGGGTTTTGGAGACCAGGGACCTCGTGTCATGTCTCCGGACCTACGGCTTCTTCTGTAAGCCTGGCCCACAGAAGGCACCAGGAAATGTTGGAAAAAGGCAGGAGAAGAGGGAGGGGGGCAGAGGAAAGAGGGATGGAGGAGCAGCAGGGGATGGCAGGGGCCTCCACTGTGAGGGGGGTCCCCCAAGACAGCCTGTCATTACAGCCGAGTCAGAAGGAACTGTGACCTGGTTGACTGTGAGCAGGAGGTGTCTGAATACGGCTTTGTAACAATCATGGTAATATAGAGTTCACAAATACACTCTGCTTTATCCGATTCCCAGTGCTTGTTGCATTTGGTTTGCACAACACAGGAGGCATGGGGCTTGTATTATGTTGATTTTGCAGGTGAGGAGACTGAAGCTCAGTAAGGTCCCGCTGTTAATTAAAGACAGAGCTTGAACTATTGAACCCACACCTACCAGTTTGTAGCCAGAATCGTTTCTGCCATGACATATTTCCTTCCTTCCTTCCTTCCTTCCTCTTTCTCTCTCTCCTTCTTTATATATATATATATATATATATAGACAGAATTTCACTCTCGTTGCCCAGAACTGGAGTGCAATGGTGTGATCTCGACTAACCGCAACCTCCACCTCCCGGGTTC